>NC_000001.11:230881091-231032606 GCF_000001405.40 Homo sapiens | reverse complement strand
TTGCAATTAAAATTGGATATAAAATATCCAAATTAAATGCTGCTAAAAGAGAAGTGGCAAGGTGTTTAACATTCCTTATAACCACGGATGTATACATTAAGACAATAAGGTATCATGTTGTACCTCCAAGACTGACAAAGGTAGAAAAGCATGATCCTGTCACAGTGAGGGTTTGGAGAAGTAAACCTTCTCATGCATTGCTGGGGGTGGGGGGTGGGGGCTGGCGGGGGCGGGGTGGGGTGGGGCGGTGTAAAGTGCTGCAGGGTTTTTTGAGCGCAGTTTGGTAATACCTCTGAAATTGAATATGTGCCTGTCTTTTGACCTTGTAATTGCATTTTTTAAAAACTCTGAAATGGCTTTCTATTAAATAGCAAAGCAGAATTGCAATATAATTTTAAAATATGTTTAAGTTAGGTCACAAAAGGGATGTAAAATGTTTGCAGTATGACTGTTAAATCTTCATACAGCTAAAGCCAATTATTGACTCTTTCTTATACCAATACAGACATAAAATTATTTTGTGATGAAAAGTAGTCCAAATTGAATCACTTTATTGGTAAACGTCTTTCTTCCCATTACATTTTCCCATTGCTTTGGACTTGAGGCCCGGGGTTGGGGAGGATTGGAAAGGCGCCTTGGGCATTCTTCTCTCCTTGTCCTCCTTGTCCCCCACAATTTCATATTCACAAGTGTACCTTACAGAAGCATCCACACAAGTGGATAATGGCACTTATACATGGATGTGTATTGCAGGATTTTTTATAATAGTGATAGAATACTGTACAATTGTTGAAAAGAATATGGTAACTATATATGTATATAGAAAGATGTTCACAGTGTAAAGTTACAAAACAGTACTTACCTAACTTTGTGTATGTGGTAACAGTAGAGAAAAAACAATATGAGTGTGCATAGTGCTTTGAGGAATATATGCTAAACTACTACAAGTGGATATCTGAAGAACCACAGTTTCAAAGTGTGGTCTGGGGACCTCTAGGGGCCCCTGAGATTCTTTCAGAGGGTCCATAATTATATGATGGTGATATTGACAAATGTGACTTTTTGGTTATTATATAAGAAAATGTACCAACATTTGGAAGATCCTGCATAATTTATTGAATCAATTTTCCACTTTTTTCATATGACTGTGCTTGATATTAAAAGATCCATTCAAAGTGCAAGACTGATGGGTTTTAATGTAATAGAGTGTGAACATTTCATTGGTATAGTTCCAAATTCCACACTAAACAGCAGTCAACTAAAGGGCGGTAGCAAAGAGGAATATCCACAATTGTCTGAAAAGGCTATTGAAATACTCCTTCATTTCCCAGTTATACAGCTGTATGAGGCCAGATTTTCTTCATTTACTTCAACCAAAACAGCACGTCACAAAGGACCAAATGCAGAACCAGATAAGCCAGATATTTAAAAAGATTTATGAAAATGTTATTTGTGTTAGCATGTAATAGGTTTATTATTATTATTATTATTATTATTGAGACAGAGTCTCACTCTGTTGCCCAGGCTGGAGTGCAATGGCAAGATCTTGGCTCACTGTGGTCTCTGCCTCCCAGGGTCAGGTGATCCTCCCACCTCAGCCACCCAAGTAGCTGGGGCCACAGGCAAATGCCACCACACCCAGCTGATTTTTATATTTTTTGTGGAGATAGAGTTTTGCCATGTTGTCCAGGCTGGTCTCGAACTCTCAGGCTCAAGTGCTCCACCTGTCTTGTCCTCCCACAGTGCTGGAATTACAGGTGTAAGTCACCTCACCTGGTTGGTGACTTTTAAATTTTCTCAGTTTTAATTTCTAGTAATGTAAATATTGATAGGTATAACCCACATAAACCAAAGCTCTTTGGGACCTTCAATAATTTTTTAGAGTGTTTGGAGACCAAAACATTTGAAGTCTGCTATTTTATAACAGGGAATTAAGGAGAACTGGTTTGTATGATTACGAACCATTTGAATTTATAATACAATTAGAGTGTTTATTTTTATAATCAGAAAAAAAATAAAAGAATGTACAAAGACATTTCTTAAAGAAAATGGTCAATTGCTTTTCTTCATCTATATCCAGGACAGAACAAGAGGAAATGGGCTTAGTTTGTATGAATGTTAGTTTAGGTTAGAGATAAACAAGAATGTCCTTCTGAGAATTGTTAAATTGCAGAACAGTCTCTGTGTCAGTGTGGATGCCCTCACTTGTAAGTTAGCAGAAAATCCAATTCAAACAGCTTTACCTGGTAGAGGAGTTTCCTGGAAAGTATAGAGGTGGGATGTGCTTTGGGTTTAATGGGGGTTAATCTGGGGGCACAGTCATGCAACCCGGTTTATCTTCTGTCTCTGAATCCTGATGGCGCTTTAGAGTCTAGTCCTCAGCTTGGCAGGTCTAAAATATTAACAGGAGATGAAGCTGACCAGATGACACGAATATGTTTCCGCCCATGGGAGGAGAAGGCTACATAGGAGACCAGGTCATCAGAAGCCGTTTAGTGAGCACAGAGCTGGAACCCACCAGGGAGCTGAGAGTCCTTCAAGGGTGTTTCTGTCAAGCTTGGGTAGCTGGGCTCATAGCCCGTCTCCAACTGCATCAACACTGATGAAGTCTCTCTTCGGCTTTTTCTAAACACTATGCAGGGCAGCATCCTTCAGTCAACATATCTTTTATCAGAAATCAGGTTATAATCGATTGGATCTCTGCTTTCTTCAATTACAGTCCAGGCCTGTGGATATAAACTAGACACTGTGATTAGATTTGGGGCATTTACCAAGTCTTTAAAATAAATTTGTGAGCCATCTGTATATACTTACTCATTCATTGTGTTTTTAAAAGATAACTGTGAAAGTTTTCTCATTGTTAATACATTTTCACAATAGAAAACTTAGAAAATTCAGAAAAGCCAGGAATAAAAATGGCCTGTGATCCAAGCAGGTTGCTATACCACTGCTGAGACTGGGGCCTCTCTCTTCATCTTCCCTGTACAGGCAGTGCAGGGTGATTGTCAAAGCACCCATTTCAGAGTCCTGCAGATCTGGTCACCTCCCCACTCTGCCACTGACTAGATGGCCTTAGGCAAGGGCCTTTGTCATTCTTTTTTTTTTTCTTTTTTTTGAGACAGGGTCTTGCTCTGTTGCCCAGATTGGAGTGCAGTGGTGCGATCACAGCGCACTGCAGCCTCAACCTCCTGGGCTCAAGTGAACCTCCCACCTCAGCCTCCCAAGTAGCTGGGACCACAGGCACGTACCACCACACCCAGCCAATTTTTAAAATATTTTTGTAGAAATGAGGGTCTCGTCATCTTGCCCAGGCTGGCCTGGAACTCCTGGGCTCAAGCAGATCCTCCTGCCTCAGCCTCCCAAAGTGCTGGGATTACAGGCGTGAGCCTGTAATCTGCAAATGGCAGTTTTTTAATTTCTAAAAAAATCTTAACATTTTTCATGATGTTTTGGTTTAAATCAACACAAATTTCCTTTTAAAGGTTCCTCTCATCTTTTAAGCCTTGTTTCCTAGTGGTCATATTTCTATTGTCCTTGCTTTAAGTTAGGAAGAACTCTCTCCCCCATGCAGCCTCCAGAGATACTCAGAGACTTTCAGTGACTTAACACCCAGCTGGGAGCCACCGCCCTGTCTGGAGTGTATTTGTATGTGGAGCCTACTGTTTTGAAAATCCCAAGTGAAAGGAAGCAGTTTCAAGGGTGGTTTGGGCTTGTTTGGCCCCATTGTTGGGAATGCTGTGGCTCTCGGGGCCACCTGTGTGTGTTGCGGGAGGGGTGGAGGGGAGCTCTGGGCATGGGAGAAGAGGAGTGAATGATCAGGAAGGAAGCAGGAAGCCTGAGCAGAGAGCGGAAGGACCTGCGCTCGCAGTTTACGGCCATGGAAGCTGCTGATTGTTCTTGAATTTAAAGTGGAGAATAAGGGACCACAAATTGCAGGGTTTGAGCATTCCATGTTTTTCTTAAATGAGCCTGTCTGCATTTTCAAAACGTGTGCTTTCAAAAGAGAGCTGTATTTTCTGAATCCAGCTGTGAATGTGGAGACCAGCCGTCCTCCAAGGGCATGCGAGAACACACCGTTGAGATCCAGGCTGCTTCTGCTCGGAGAGTGGCTTGCTCGGCGGCTCCCCAGCCACTCTTTTTCTGGAAGGGTGAGAAGTTCTTGTTCATGGTGACTTAACCATGTCTTGCAATCAAGTCCTTTTGGATGGTTGCTCTCTCCCCTTCCTGCATCCAAGACCCACATACCTTCAGTGTAGAGAGACTGACCACCAGATCTGCCCTCTAAAGAGCGCTCCTGGAGGAAACTTGGTTGGGTGTCTTTGGCCCTTGATGTGATGGGAGGCACGCGGGGACTCAGTGGTCTGATGCTTCCCACAGGGACACCTTGTGTACAGGGCACTCGGCGGCTGCCCGTTCAGTCTGCACCTCTGTGACTGCCCGAGGGATGCAGCCAGAGGGTCTGTGGGTGCCAGCACCACCCCACTGCCAGGCCACTTCTGCGGCTACGTGTTCTCTGGGAGGGTGAGATCTCTGCAGCCAGGCGTTTTCACTGATTCACCAAATATCTGCCTGTCTGCTCTGAGTTTCTGGGCTGGGTGCTGAGAGATCCAAAAGGGAAATGGTGTTTGCCTTCATGGAGCTTGTCCTGTGTCAGGAGAGAGAAGACCTGTGTGCACACCGATAATATAGAGAGTAGTAAATGTCCTAAGACAGGTGGAGACGCCGAGGGCAAAGGATGAACACTGGCTGAACCAATCACAGTCTGAAGAGTGGAGGGAATCAGGTACAGGGCGGGTGGTCGAGGAGCATTCACAGATGCAGTGGGGATGAGGGTGTCATGGGGGACAGTCGGGGCTGTGCAGGTTGGGAGTCAAGGGCGTAAGCCTGAAGAACAGTCAGACCAGATGGTGGAGTGCTGCCTACGGATCTTCCACCTCCCTCTAGAAAATGTTAAGTGTCGCTGTTTAAACAGCCACAGCTGAGGAAGAGGGGCCCGGGCTAGGAAGTCTGGTTTACTGTGCAGTGACTTACCTTATGTCCTCCGAGCTGATTTAGAGGATTTCTGGTAAATCAGGAAGTTTAGTCTGGTGCCTGAAGACAGTGGCATTGAGAGGCTGGGAGGTGTGTAGGCGTGTGTGTGCGTGTGCATATGTATGTGTGTGCGTCTAATCCTTGTTAAATCCGTCTGAACTTTTGCCATGTGTCGGGTTGTGTAATAGGTGTGTGCGGGGCTGCGCTGTATTCCTAGGCGGTCAGGATTCCTTTCTAGGCCAGTGTTCCACCTGACGACAAGGCAGCTTTGTGAGTCATCTGGGTGCTACAGTGCAGAAGTGTCCAGGGAGAGATCCTCTTTGCTTTCGACTCCCTGCCGGGTGCATCACCTCGGTGGGCCTGGGAATACCTTGGAAATGGCACTGTCAGGAGAAAAGCCTGGAGCCACGTGTCTGGCTGGAATGGGGTCATGGGGAGTCAGAGCCTTTGAAACCTAGAAGCGTTCAGGCTCCTGTGTTTACCTGGGCCGACCTCAAACCATCCCAGGAAGGAGAAAAGCAGACCTGCTCTGATACCAGGGTGCCCACTGCTACTTAGGTGTTTTTCCATTATTCATTCCTGGGGTAAGAAATCGAGTCTTGGGTTTACCCACCCTACTGGTGTCAGAGGGACTCAGCAGGAGAGTAGATCTAGGATTCCAGATGATCTTCTTCCATGGTTTTTGAGCACATACTATGTGACCCCGAGAGAGTGTGGCTTTCTCGATTAAAGTTATTATTTCTTTTATGAAATCCTAGCAAAGATAGGGACGTCAGAGCTGGCCGAGTCAGACTCCTGGGGGCATGTTGATGGCATCCAGATGCAATTCTGCAGAGGAATCCTGGAAAACAGGAGTAAGTCTAGAGGAAAGGCCACGGGTGTTAGTGGACGAGAGGTCATAATGAAAATAGGGGAAGGGCCTGAGATATTTAGCTTGGAGAGAAGAACACAGGTTTGGTTTTTGTTTTAGGGCATGGGGTGGTGGAAAGTAAATGACCTTCAGATTAAAGGGTAGTAGTTAGGAGAGAGTTAAATTAGATCTGTTTGGATGCTCAGCTGTCACACCCAGCATCAAGGGCTCTGTGGGGCCTCCAGGCTGGGAGGCTTTGACTTTGTATAAAATAATCGTATTGGTTTGGAGAGGAGTGCAGTGGTTTGGAAGGTCCTCCTTTTGGGGTTTGAGGTAAGATATCCCAAGTCTTTTCCTATTTGAGAGTTTCCCTTCCTCATGAGGCAGTGTCACTGGCACGTTGTCACCCTGCCTGACTATGCTGGCTGTCTTCTGAGCGAAGGTGACCATCTGGTTCCTTCTCATGTACCACCTCAGTGCTGGATTGGGAGAGGAGCGGGAGGAACACAGTGGGATGGGGCGCTTCTGTTTTCAGAGCCTGGCTGTACCTGCTGCTCCTTCCTGAGGTGAGTCTGCCCACTAGCAGAGTGGAAAAGAAACCATGGAAATACTAACAATGAGAATAGAGGCTATTGATTTTTTTTTTTTTTTTTTAGGAGCTGAGCAATTTATCCACAGTTTCTCAGCTGGTGAGTGGCGGAGCCAAGATCTGAACCCAGGCAGGGAGGTAGGCAGGTTCCAGAGCCTGCACTTTTAATTCTGTGCTCTTCTGCTTGGCTGGCCTGAAATTCCAGGCTTACAGGATAATAAATATAAGTGGCCCAGGAAAATCAGAAAGATATTTGTGTCAAGATCACTGGTTCTTTGCTGGAACTGAGCATCAGCATCATCTGGGTACTTTTTGTATTATTTATTTATTTTTTCAATAGAAAATTCCTAAACTGACTGACTTTTCTTTCCCTCCTTCTCTCCCTTCCTTCCTTTCTTCCTTCTTTCTTTCCCTGTCTCTCCTTTTTTTAATAGAAAATTCCCAAACTATGGATAATTTTTAAAACACAAATGCCAGATATGCTGTTTCCCTCCCTCTTGACAGACACACATCCTTTCGAACTCTAATCAAGAAAAAGAGCAAGCAGTGGTGTCTGCCTTAGGGTGTGGTGGCCTGGGCATCTCTTAAGTTGCCCATTGCTTGCCTATTCAAGGTATGCTTTTGAGATGCCATTGAATAAAGTTTGCTCCTGAGTACAGTACTGGAAACTGTCTGTCTTTCGCTTGCAGTTCATTTAGGACAGAGAAGCAACAGTTTATATAGGGTCACAAAGTGTTTGAGCTAACCATAGATGAGCGAGCCCAAATCCCCCATTTTATAGGCTGGCAGAGGGTCGGGACCTCAACCAAGCCACAGAGGACGGCAAAGCTGGGCCTGGAGACCACGCTCCCGACCTGCAGCTGAGGTCTCTTCCTAAGAAAGTTTAGAAATTCTGGTGTCAAGGGTAGTTGTGGTGGCCGGGCACGGTGGCTCACGCCTGTAATCCCAGCACTCTGGGAGGCCGAGGCGGGTGGATCACAAGGTCAGAAGATCAAGACCATCCTGGCTAACACGGTGAAACCCCGTCTCTACTAAAAATACAAAAAATTAGCCGGACGTAGTGGCGAGCGCCTGTAGTCCCAGCTACTCGGGAGGCTGAGGCAGGAGAATGGGGTGAACCCAGGAGGCAGAGCTTGCAGTGAGCCGAGATTACACCACTACACTCCAGCCTGGGCAACAGAGCAAGACTCTGTCTCAAAAAAAAAAAAAAAAAAAAAAAAAAGAGTAGTTGTGGTAGCAACAGAACCCACCTCTCTATCTGGAAGTCTTCTTGAGTGTCTTAGCAAAAGATGCTCTGTAGGCTGGGCACAGTGGCTCACACCTGTAATACCAGCACTTTGGGAGGCCAAGGCAAATCACTTGAGCCCAGGAGTTTGAGACCAGCCTGGGCAAGATGGCAAGGCCCCATCTCTACAAAGAATTTCTTTAAAAAATTAGCCAGGCATGGTGGTATGCACCTGTAGTCCCAGCAGCATGGGAGGTTGAGGCAGGAGGATCCCTTGAGCCCAGGAGCTTGAGGTGGCAGTGAGCTATGATCATACCACCACACTCCTGCCTGGGTGACAAAGCAAGACTCCATCTCTAAATGTGTGTGTGTGTGTGTGTGTGTGTGTGTGCATGCAATGTAATAAAACATAGTTCTGATTTTTATGGTCTATTCAGGCCATAGTAGAGAGACAGCCAGTGTTCACTTGGCAATTTAGAAAAGTTGGAGGGTATGAAGAGTAAACCTGGAATTTAACACCCAATCTATTTACAAGATGATCACTTTTTACCAGGCCTCAGCTTCCTTTTGTGAAAGCCATACTATCTTATGTGGAAAATCTTATTGCTAGGTAAACGAGTCATTTCGGTAATTATAAAATCTGTAAATCCTCTGACACTTTCTGTGTGCTTTTCTACATGCGCGTACCCATGCATCTTTTTTTTTTTTTGGTTCAAATTAATGGTTTTATTTCCATCTTTAACACTAGCAGAGGAGTCCAAAGCAGACTGATATCCATGGATGTAGTTTAAATGTAACAAAGAAAGAGTTGAACTATGTACATTGAAAAAAGGAAAGACATTTTTTCATACCAACCTTTCCCTAGTTTGCAGTTTCTGAATAGTAGAAACAAAACACATTTTTAAATCTTTTTATCAATTTAATTTAGGACGAAGTACACAACTTTTATAATTAACCACTGAAGTTGTCTTCAAGGATAAAACTTAAAGAAATTTTAAAATGGGTGTTACCATATTTTATTAGTGGACTGACTCCAAGGTTGCCTTGCTCCAAGTCTGGGCATTGTGACATTCCCGTGATGCCCAGAAGAAAGTTAATGGCAATGATGTCCAGTCAGGGGGCAGACACGCTACACATCACAATGATGGGAGCTGAGGATTCTGCCCTCTTCAACTCCAAGTAGAAAATTATTATTTTCATTCAAACTAACTGGAAGTGAGCCAAACAGTTAAAAAGTCAGAATGAAGAATAAAACAATTTTCTTTTCACATAGAGGAGGGACACTCCTTCAGCCCCGTCTAAAGTGAATTCTGTGCTGAGTCCCTTCTCCTTCAGAAGGGTAAACTGAAGGTCAGTTATTGCTAACAAAGCCAGAAGTGGCCCCTTTCCCACCCTGAAGATGTTTCACACGAAAAGGCTGTTTGTTTTGCTTGAAGCCCTCTGAGGAAGGAGGGCAGCGGAAGAGGAGGCATGCCGGCACTGTAAGGCCTCTCTCGTTAGCCACCGCCAGGCCCTGTGCTGTCAGGGGCAGCTTGGGCCACTTTGCTGCCCCTGAGCGAACCTGAGGCTCCCACCTACCTGTGGAGTGAAGGAGAGGTTGTCCTCTGGGCCCCTGTTTCACCAGTCATAACCTATGGAGCAGTCAAAGGCCCAAAGCATCCAAGCCCAGTGGGCTTCTGAAATAAACGGCACGGGGTTGGGAAGGATGAGAAAGCCAAGTCAGGTGGGCCAGGTTCTCCGAACATGGGGCAACAGTGACCTGGGCAAAAGGCTGGAACTGAGCGGCTGATAAGGCCACAATTACTGCCACCACCTCTCAGTATCTACACGGGGGGCAGATGTTAGGCAGTGGGAACTGAGGACTGGAGGGCGTGTGGCAAACACCGGATGGATTTTATCAGAAAAGAGAGGACACCCAAACATGTGCCTGTCCTATTTATCTTGCATGTCCTGTGCCAGGTGAAGGACGCTGGAGCATGGGTAAGGTTCCTGAGAACAACTGGTGGGCAGAAATGGGCTGGGATGGGCACTGCTCCACAGGCAACATTAAGCCTCTGAGGGGGACACTAATAGTGCTACATCTGGTGGGCTGCTGAAAAGTAGGTAACGAATGGCCTTTATTGCACTTTTTCATTCTTAGGAAACGGGATTGCCCTGCAGAGCTTCTCTTGATTTGCAGAAATCACTGCAGATCAATGATAAGGTGCAGGCAGAATCACGGGTGACCTCTGACTCTCAAGGGAAGAAGTCCAGTGATTGGTCTTTTCAGGGCCTCAAGGGGCCACTCTTGCACCTGGGATCCTCGAGCTGGGTGAACCGGGTCTGGCTTGGTCAATGTGTGGCAGGCAGATTGGTCGACCGGCAGACACTTGGGACAAAAGGTGGTGTGCCCGGGAAAGCTGGGGCAAACTTTCCAAACGGAAAATTTCTTGGCAAATGTGCAGGTTCTGCAACCAGACTGGAACCACGATTCCCAGTGTGCCTGACTCCCTTTCTCTCACTCTAGAACTGGACCACCCCAGAGGAACAGAGATGGCCTGGGAGGGCCCTGGGTCCAGCGCCATAGCATCAAACTGGAGATAACAAAAGGAAGGGGTTGGAAACAAAAGAGCAGTTTACATATCAGACGTGGGTTTCAAAACAGTCTTTTTGAGCTCAGGAAAATGGAGGCAGATACCACTGGAGAACCTGATTGTCCATCCGTCTCTCCTGGGCGTCTCTGAATACTTCATATATGAATGGAGTGGTACTGTTTGTGGTTGATCTTTTTCCTACAAGTTGGGCAAGTATTAGCGTTCTTCAGGGAATCACGGAGGCACTGGCTACAGAAGACATGGCCACATTCTGTGGAAACGATGAGACGTCTATTCTGCACGATCTCTGAATATCTGTCCATGCAGATAGGACAACCGACAGTACCCGAGGGCCTGAGGCCTATAGCGCCCTCATCCCTGGTGTTTCTGGAAGTGTGGGTAGTCACATACACGTCTCTGTCCCTGGACAACAACTCATCGTCACTGCTCACCATGCAGCTGTCAGCATGGTCCTGGGGCAGCCTCCTAGCATTCCTCCTTGGTCTTCTTCTTTTGTCAACAATCACAACAGAGTCATTGTGAGTCAGATCAACCACCACAGGCTCTAAAGATTCACAAGTGAGGTCAACAATTTCATCTCCAGCAGTTTCCACGAGTTCTATGGGTTCTGCTTCCAAGGAAATCTCAGGGGTGGAGGTTGCTTCCCGTGTTCGCTTCTGGGCTTGTCTAGAATTTATTGCTCCACCTCGACGCTTTCTTGTACTCATTGTGCTCTTTGGTGCCTTTCGTTTCCTAACAGAAAAGGAAGTGATCTATACCAAGGTTTGCAGGGAAGTCGAATGTTCTCAACCTTTCGTGCCCTCTGGTTAATCATCTGGCTTGCAAAAGAATTTGGATCGGGACAGATTTCCAGTATTTTAAAGTCCTGGAGCTAGTTAGGTCTGCAGGCGCTGCCACCGGCGCACTCCAGAGAAGAAGCTCCTTCTCCAGCCGCCCAGGAGAGCTGTACCCATGCATCTTTAGTGCTTTAGCCCGGGAGGCATTAGAATCCTGTTTATTGAGTGGATTGATATTGAATTGCCCTAATAGCTCCATAAGAGAAATTATTGTTCCATTTTGCCATCAACCAAGGCACGGAGATGAAGGTGATAAATACCTTGCTCAGGGGCCAAGAAGCCGAAGGCAGGTCCCCTGGTGTCTTCTTGAGTTTCTTCCCGTTGCCATTCAGAGCAGGGTCTGTGGAACAGCAGCATAGCACGGAATCACCATAGGGGCTTGGTGGAAGCACAGCCATCCAGTGGCCCCAGACCCACTGAATCAGAGTCTGCTTGTTGAACAAGATCCCCGGGTGGTTCTCATGCACTTTAAAGGTTAAGAGGCACCGATGCTGGTCTATGCTGCATTTCCAAGAGGCTTAACTGTTCTCTCTTTGGTATTGGTGTAAACGATGCATTTCCTGTTCTGACTGTGACCGTGCTCTTTTCTCTGGGATGGGTGGTGGGGGAGGGAGGAACTGGAAGATAAACAAGTATATGACTTTTATAAATGTTCTGTGTTCTTTTGCTGCTTGTTTTTGTGGGGCTAGTTTTCAGGAGGAACTGTAGAGCCCTTCATCTTCCAGGGCTTCCTCATATTCAGTCAGTTACTCTGGGGAGGGATCCCAGAACCATCTGGGATAAGACTGACCCTGCCTGGAGGAGAGGGAGGCAGTGTAACCTCTGACCACTGAACTGCACAGAGGTGGGTGCTCCAGGGGGATGTCACGTTGGCCAGCTGCTGTCACTGGCAAAGGGCATTCTGTTGCCCCTGGGAGTTGAGAATGACTGCATCAGTCAGATCCTAACGCAGTAGCAGGGAAGGCCAATGTGGGTCTTCTCCGAGTCTGATTGGGAGAGGAAGTGACACACTCGTTTCTTGGCGTCCAAAGTGAAAGCAGGTGGGGCCACTAGAATATGCAGTGCTGTTGCTTCATCAGGCACACTCAGGAGCGCCAGGGTAAATTCTGCAGGCTGCCCTGGTTGCCCCACAGATGCGATCCTCACTGGACTCAATGAGTAACGTCTGAGGTATGGGCATAACACAATTAAGGTGTTCTCAAAACTGGAAATCCAAAGCATCCGAGTGATGCTCTGAATCATGCGCCGTGTGGAAGGAATGTGCTGGCAGGCGCAGATCGCCGGCTGAGTGTTCCACTGAAATTAAACTCAAGTGCTGACTTCTCGTTTTTTACCTCCCCACCCCTTCCCTCAAGGTTGGTCTCCGCCAGCTGGACATGTCCTTGCTCTGCCAACTGTACAGCCTCTACGAGTCGATTCAGGAGTACAAGGGGGCATGCCAGGCAGCCTCCAGCCCAGACTGCACTTACGCTCTGGAGAACGGCTTCTTCGATGAAGAGGAGGAATATTTCCAGGAGCAGAACTCCCTGCACGACAGGAGGGACCGAGGCCCTCCTCGGGACTTGTCACTGCCTGTCTCCTCCCTCTCCAGCAGCGACTGGATTCTGGAGTCCATCTAGAGGGTCTTGGGAGGGATGTGACTGTTGGGAAGCCCTTCCTACTGGACACGCTGTCATCATTTGCTGCTTCTCTTGCAAGAAAGCACCTCCGTTGTGGACGGTCCTCGGGCACAGGGGATGAGCGCTACCAGTTTCATTTGTAGGCAGGGAGTTCTCCGCGGATGCATGGTGGCAGTCTGCTTTGATGGCAGCAGTTTCTGCTTAGGTGACCTAGAGGTCCTCAGCAGTATCCTCCACACCTATTTATTGAGGTGCACCTGCTGGGGATTCATAATGAGAATATAACAAGAGGATCTCGGTGAAAGGCCTTAGTGGGTGTTTTGTGTGAGGTGGCTTGTAGCTAGCTACTTCCTTACAGATGGTAGAGTATTCCAATCCTCTTTGTGTTAGGGTTCTTGCTTCCAGTTTGGGATGTATTAAAACCACCATTTCACTGCTTCCCTTCCTCAATATGCTCTGCAGCTTTTCTTGCTGTTTAAACCTCTCGCCTCAGCTTTATTTATTTGTAAGCTGCATTACTAACTGCCCAGTGATTCGGTGAAAGCTTTTTACTGAAAAAGTTAACATTTCTAGTCATCCCAATCAACTGGCTTTTTTCAACCAAAATTTTATATCATTCTTTGTCTATCAGATACGAGAGGAAGGAAGATAATACGAAGACATGTTGAATAGTGAAAAAAAAAAAAAGAACACAAAAACTGGGGCAAGCCAATGTGATGTATCACTCACTGTAAGATGGCAAATGTTTTCATTTTTAAGATTCCGAATGTAAACTAGTGTGCTAGAAAGCAAACCACCCGCCACTCAAACCAGTAATTACCTTAAGCCTTAATATATTTATTAAAATACTTTATGAGAACATTACACTTTGTAGGTTAAAAATGAGGATAAAATGCTAAACTATCTGTGTCATGTGTTATTTTATTCTGAATTTGGAATCATCAACTTTCATGACTTGAATGCATTGAGTCCAGTCAAATAATGAAAGAAAATTAGTTTGTTTTTCTGCCACTAAATGCATTTGAAACAAGATTGACTCTGTTGAGCTTAAGGAATCGTTTTAGCAAGAGTAGATCACCATTTACAGCTGGTTCTCAGTGCTCTTTTTTTTCTTTGAGACGGAGTCTAGCTCTGCTGCCTAGGCTGGAGTGCAGTGGCACGATCTTGGCTCCCTGCAACCTCTGCCTCTCTGGGTTTAAGCAATTCTCCCACCTCAGCCTTCCGAGTAGCTGGGATTACAGGCGCCTGCCACCACGCCCAGCTGATTTTTGTATTTTTAATGGAGATGGGGTTTCACTGTGTTGTCCTAGCTGGTCTTGAACTCCTGACCTCGTGATCCACCCGCCTCGGCCTCCCAAAGTGCTGGGATTACAAGTGTGAGCCACCATGCCTGGCTGCTCTTCTGTCTTTGAATGCTGCAGACTCCTTCATCTTTCTTTTGGTGTGATAATTGCTCACTAGAGCGTCCTTCAGGTTAGGGAGAGGAAGGCACCTCAATGTCATGCATCGCCAAGTGTTAACCTGTCAAGTACACCCTGGGTCAGGAACTGGGGTGAGATACAGAGAAGGAGGAATACGCCTGCTTATTTCCTCTGTTGAAAGGAGTTAAAATGAGAGGTGGCAATTAATTGCCTTCAGCACATAACTGGTCAGTGGGGACAAGAAAATTAAAAGCAGTTAAGACCAACAGAGTTAAGTCTGGATCACTTGCAGGAAGTTCCTTTGA
This sequence comes from Homo sapiens, assembly GCF_000001405.40. Classification (NCBI taxonomy): domain Eukaryota; kingdom Metazoa; phylum Chordata; class Mammalia; order Primates; family Hominidae; genus Homo; species Homo sapiens. Next base: position 231,018,136 of record NC_000001.11, on the reverse strand, counting down.
GGCTGTTCCATGCTTACAGTGAGTTGAACCTTTAGATCAGCTGTTCTTGAACCTGGCCACTTTAAGAATCACCTGGGGAATGTTTAGAAAAATACTGATGCCTAGGGCTGGGCGCGGTGGCCCACGCCTGTAATTCCAGCACTTTGGGAGGTCAAGGCAGGCACATCACAAGGTCAGGGGATTGAGACCATCCTGGCCAACATTGTGAAACCCCGTCTCTACTAAAAATACAAAAATTAGCCAGACATGGTGGTGCGTGCCTGTAGTTCCAGCTACTCGGGAGGCTGAGGCAGGAGAATCACTTGAACCCAGGAGGCAGAAGTTGCAGTGAGCCGAGATCGTGCCACCGCACTCTAGCCTGGTGACAGAGTGAGACTCCATCTCAAAAAAAAGAAAAAAAAGAAAAATACTGATGCCTGGGCTCCAGCACCCTGCATGCCTAGTCTGGATTTAAGTAGGAGTGAGGCGTGGGCGCCTCTATGGATCGAGGAAGCCTCCCAGGTGATTCTAATGTGTAGAAATGTTGAGATACAGTCCTTCAGCTACATAGTGTTCAAAGCGTGGTGCGTAGATCAGACATGGACAATCTCAAAGCACCCCAGCCTTGCTGAATCAGCCCCTGCCTCTTAAGATGCCTCTGATGATTCCTTTCACAAAGCTTGGGAAGCAGCTTTCTGTCGGCCCAGTGCCTAGCACTTGGAGACCACCTCTCCATAGAGGGCTACCAGGATCTCCTTCAGCACTGCGGAAGAGTGGGCCCCAGGGCATGATTAGGAGACCCCAGTCCTTTCAGAATGGGTCAACAATAGCAAGGGAGTGAAGCTCGAAGGACAAGTTCAGGCTTGGGGGAACTCATGGTTCAGAATGGCTCCCTTCCCTGGGTTGCTGCCTCTAGGCTGTTCTGGAACTGCAGTGATTCATTGTGCTTTTGAGTTTTGGGGCTTTCATCTCACTATTGCTGGATAGTCTGTCAGAGTTAGAAGTGGAATGAGTCGAGGCAGGCCAGGGGCCTCTCCCTTGCTGCTGGGAAGGGCCAGCACATTCCTCGTTCCTATGATGAAGATGCACGTGTATACAATAACCACCACATTTCTTGGTACTCCACTTAAAACATGTAAATAACCCGAAACTGTTACTCCAAGTATAATGTGAATACAGCTTGGCAAGGAATTTAATATTTGCAAAACTATAAAATGTTTTGTAATATAATTTCTTTATAAAAGGTGTCCTTTATTGCCACCTGGTATAAATCATATTATTGCCACCTCAGAGTGGGACTTTCTCTGCTATTCTTGAGGTTATACTCAGTGCCCAACAGAGAGATGGTAAGGCAATCCCGCATTAACTGATGAAAGCTGAAAGAACCATGATTTATTCTGTAAGGCAAAGCACATAGTAGTCAAAGCAGAGTCGATAGCTTTCCACAGCATATGTGCAGTGAACCCAGAATTGTTAATAATTCAAGCCTTGCAATCCACAGATAAGGTGCAGTTCCTCTGTGTCCCTAGTAGAATTCGTATTCAACTAATCGACTTGTCGCTTTCATTTGTCCCAACCTAGGCTGATATAACTTTTTCAACTAATATTTAATTTAGCACTTCTCCGGGTCACATTGGTCCAGGCACCAAGAATAACATGAAGAGCCTTGGGCAGATGTGGCAGTTACACAAACAGCCCAACCCATATGGTTAAGTATTACCATAATAACATCTGAGTCAGCTTTGAAGGATGCATAAGTTCTTTACAAGGAAGAGTGAGAAGCCTGACAGAGTGGCATAATCAAACTCCCACCCAGACTTTTATGTCTAGTGTTGTATTTCATAAAACATTTTCATTGCCTTTTTTTTTTTTTTTTTTTTTTTTAGACAGAGTCTCTGTTACCAGGCTGGAGTGCAGTGGCGCGATCTTGGCTCACTGCAGCCTCTGCCTCCTGGGTTCAAGTGGACATTTTCATTTCTATCATGAAAACACAGGTTAAATGATTTGCTGAAGGTCATGGCTAAATACAGGCAGAGCTGGAGTTCCTTCTCAGATGCAGTTTGTGCTCCGTCTGCATTTAAGGCACAGGCAAGTGCTGCAATATAATCTAGAGAGATTGTCGAGTATAACCCTTTAATCTTATGTGACAGTGCTTTACTATTTAATGATTTATTGTGTAATTTAAAAAAAATCAAATCTTGGTCTGACTTCCATGTGGACAGGCCTAGTTTCTTTCAGATCCTGTTGTTAGGAATATATGCCAAGTGTGTAGATGATGGGAAGGCTCTACAGCATCTTAAGTCACTTCGCCGTAGGTGAGTTGGCCATTTCATGTCATCTTTCTGCCCAAAGAAAACTTCAAAAATCTAAACCTCCAAGCATGTACGGTCTTCTTGTCTTCATGATTGAGTATATTTTCAGCTCAGAGAGATTTATTCTATTGGGAGGTAATAGAGGTTATGATAACCTCTGGAAGATAACATCTGGAAGTTGCACCTGATGAACAGCTGACCCCTGCTGGATGACGGTTTCATGAGAGTGAAAAAGCTACAGGAGTGTGGGCCTTCCCGCCACCTAGTATGGGCCTTGGAAACAGCTTCACCAAACAGCCTGGCTGATCCCTCTGTTCTAGCCAATTGTGATAGGAATGCATTACTTTTCCACCGTACCTCAGCCCTCCCAACTTCTCTGGCCACTGGTAAAGTAAAGACAAGTTCCTAAAGCCCAGCTTCCTACCTAGTTCTCCTGACTGATCCCCTGGAGAACTTAAACAAACAAGCTCGGCATCTATAGAATGTTGAGCAAAGGTCGGGTGCGGTGGCTCGCACCTGTAATCCCAGCACTTTGGGAGGCCGAGGCGGGGGGATCACAAGGTCAGGAGTTCGAGACCAGCCTGGCCAATATGGTGAAACCCCGTCTCTACTAAAAATACAAAAATTAGCTGGGTGTGGTGGCAGACACTTGCAGTCCCAGCTACTCGGGAGGCTGAGGCAGGAGAATCGCTTGAACCCAGGAGGTGGAAGTTGCAGTGAGCCGAGATAGCGCCACTGCACTCCAGCCTGGGCGACAGAGCGAGACTCCGTCTCAAAACAACAACAACAACAACAACAACAAAAAATGTTGAGCAAGGCCAGCAAAGCAATCTTAGCAAAAATAAAAGCATGAAGCAATACTAAGGAAGATGTTATAGCCTAGGATGCAGATGCCCAAGTCAAGGAGAGGACAGTGGTAAATGCTAACTGGAAAATTTTGTGTCCTCAATTTCAGGGAGAAGCTCAATGGCCCCATCTTAATGTTTCCCATTCTATCTCCAAGATAGAGAAGCTCTAATAAGCTTAGTGAGGAATGGAGCCCCAGAAACCATTATATCAGGAAAGTAGATTTTGGTGGGAGGGGCGCTTGCATTATAAATAGGCATGGTAAAAGGAACAGTCACCATACAGCCAGAGAGCTCTCCCCAGTTCCTCCAGGGCACAGCCTAAGAGATGGGAAATTAGGACTCAACAACTTTGATCAGTTTTGTTCTAGTTAAGGAAAAAGAGCACCTTATCTTTCATTTTATTTCTTTTCTTGCCCTTAGGATGATGAGATGTCAGAGTGGGGCTCAGGGAGAAAGGGTGAAAGAGGAGACCATTTAAGATGGTATCTAAGCCTGGGCAACGTGGTAAAACCCCTTCTCTACAAAATACACAAAAATTAGCCAGGGATGGTGGTGCATGCCTGTAGTCCCAAGTACTCAGGGGGCTGCGGTGGGAGGTTCTCTTGAGCCCCGGAAGGTGGAGGTGGCAGTGAGCCGACATTGTGCCACTGCACTCCAACGTGGGCGACAGAGCAAGATGCTGACTCAAAAAACAAATACATAAATTTTTTTTTTAAGACGGAATCTTGCTCTGCCACCCAGGCTGGAGTGCAGCAGCGCGATCTTGGCTCACTGCAACCTCCGCCTCCCGGGTTCATGCGATCCTCCTGCATCAGCCTCCTGAGTAGCTGGGATTACAGGCACGTGTCACCAGGACCGGCTAAGTTTTTTTGTATTTTTAGTAGAGATGGGGTTTCACCCTGTTGTCCAGTTTGGTCTTGAACTCCTGACCTGAAGTGATCCACCCGCCTTGGCCCCCAAAGTGCTGGAATTACAGGCGTGAGCCACTGCGCCCAGCCTAAATAATTTTTTTTTTTTTTAAAGATGGTATATGGAACATTGTGTTAAAGTGGAAAGAAAGCTCGTTAGAAATTCCTAAGTCCAGCACAATGGTAGGAAGGCCCCAGGGATCTGAGGTTGCAGGGCAAGCTAGCAATCCTACCTGTTTGTTTGGTGTGTCCCTGTGCATACGTGCTTCAGGAATCTAGATGGAGAGGTCTGGAGAATGAGGGTGGGTGCTCACTAACCAGGCTCAACTCACAGTTAACTGTGATTACAAGCATGTCATGACCAGCAACCTCTCAACTGGGTACTGGTCCTTTTTGGGACTGATCCCCAAAGTTCTTGCTCTGTTTGCCTTTTCTGGCAGAAACATGAGGAAAGGCAGGTTCAGCTCAATACCCCTCCAGTCATACACCATCATCAAGTGACTTCTCTTGACAAGCTTCTATCAGACACACCCTGAATGACTGTCTCATTGGTCAGAAACCTGTACAGGCTCAGCCACCCTTACCAACTCATTTTCATGTGCAGAAAGCTCAAATTGGAAGGAGCTCCAACATAAGACCTGGAAGTTGAACTTGTCTCCACTTGGTGCTGGAGAAAGAGTCCAAAAATGCCCCATAGGGTAGGAGACATGTTCTAGACCAGAGCTATGTTTTATCATACATTTATTAAATTGATTGATATTATTTACGTACCCTTTGTTCCTAAAATTATTCCAGGATGCTTTATAAAATTCATATAACACCAAATGCAATTTTAAGAACTGTGGGTTTAGAATTAGGACAAAGGGAATACAAGGGCAGGACAGATAAGATGAAACCACGTATAAAATCAGCACAAGCAGCGCTGGCTGTGAGAAGGACAAGTAGTCATATTTGTTTGCAGAATGTAAATGAGTCAGGTACTGACCTTGAATGCAAATTAAGGACCATAGATAGATGGTAAATGCTCAGCTCTAGAGCAGGTGTTTGCTTGGTTTCTCTGTCAAAGGTGTCCAAGTAAGGTGACTTCTGGAAAACAGGGAAGCATTAGAGTGGCTTTCTTTAAATGTTGCAAGGGAATCTTTAGCATTGTATCAAATCCACCTCTTGACCAGTGTGGGAATCTCCATCACAGACATCCGGCCATAGCTCTGAGGGCAGGTGGCTCACTGCATTTTGAGGTGCCTTTCAAAAAGCTTCCTGCAATGCCCTGAAATCTGCCTTTCTGTAACTTTGATGAAGCTGCAGATAAAGGGTTCTGCTCCCTTGCAGAGTCTTGCTCAAATTTGGGAGGGTGTGTGGATGGGTAGGTTGGCAGGGATACTACTAGCCAGATGATTTTGTGAGAGGCTGAAAAATGCCCCCCCCAAAGATCTCTGGGATTTGTAAGTGTGACCTTACTTGAAAAAAGGGTCTTTGCAGAGGTTATTAAGGATCTTGACTTAGGAAGATTATTCTGAATTATCCAGGTGGGTCCTAAATGCCATCACAAATGTCCTTATAAGAAAGAAGCAGAGGGAGGCTGGGTGTGGTGGCTCACACACCCAAAGTAATCTGAGCACTTTGAGAGGCCGAGTGGGGAGGATGCTTGAGCCCAGGAGTTCAAGACCAGCCCGGGCAACATGGTGAAACCCCATCTCTGTTAAAAAAAAAAGGATTAGCTGGACATGGTGGGTGCATGCTTGTAGTCCCAGCTACTCAGGAGGCTGAGGTGGGAGGGTCACTTGAACCCGGGAGGTCGAAGCTGCCGCAGTAAGCCATGATCACACCACTGCACTCCAATCTGGGTGAGAGAGCAAGACCCTGTCTCAAGAGAAGGAGAGAGAGAAAGAGAAAGAGAAAGAGAAAGAGAAAGAGAGATTTGACTCACACCGAGATGATGTGAAGATGGAAGAGAGATTAGAATGATGCGGCCACAAGCCAAGCAATGGCAGCAGCCACAGAAAGCTGGAAGAGGTAAGGAATGAATTCTCCCCTAGAGCCTCCAGTGGGGAGTATGGCCCCACCAACAACTTGATTTGGGCCCAGTGAAACTGATTTTTTACTTCTTGACTCCATAATTGGTGAGAATGAATGTGCTGTTTTAAGCCACCCAGCATGAGGTCATTTGCTTCTGCAGCTGCAGGAATCTCATGCAGATTTCTGCGCACCTCTATGTTCTCTCCCCTCAGTCCTTCATCTGCCATGATGGCCATCCTCACTCAGTTTGCACCATAGTCACTCAATCTACATCATCATCTTTCAATCTGCACCATCCTCACTCAGTCTACACAATCATCACTCAGTCTATGCACTCATCACTCAGTCTACACAATCTTCACTCAGTCTATACACCATCATCACTCAGTCTGTATCATCGTCACTCAGTCTATGCAATCATCACTCAGTCTACACAATCATCACTCAGTCTATGCACTCATCACTCAGTCTACACAATCTTCACTCAGTCTGCATCATCATCACTCAGTCTACACATCATCACTCAGTCTACACCATCATCACTCAATCTACATCATCATCTTTCAATCTGCGCTATCATCACTCAGCCTACACAATCTTCACTCAGTCTACACCATCATCACTCAGTCTACACAATCATCACTCAGTCTGCACTGTCATCACTCAGTCTACACAATCATCATCAGTCTGCATCATCATCACTCAGTCTACACCATCATCACTCAGTCTGTACCATCATCACTCAGTCTGCACCATCGTCACTCAATCTACATCATCATTTTTCAATCTGCACAAGCATCACTCAGTCTATGCAATCATCACTCAGTCTACACCATCATCACTCACTCATTGTACACCATCATCACTCAGTCTACACAATCATCACTCAGTCTGCAATATCATCACTCAATCTGTGCTATCATCACTGAATGTATGCCATCATCACTCATTCTACACAATCATCACTCAATGTGCACCATCGTCACTCAGCCTATGCCATCATCACTCAATCTGCACAATTATCACTCAGTCTACACCATCATCACTCACTGTACGCCAACATTACTCAATCTACAGACCCAGCACATTATTCAAACTCCTCCAATACTCTCAGAAAACTTCCTGATGGGTTCTTCTAGCTGACAAGCATCTTCTAGGGATACTGTGGGGATTAAACAAGCTGATACTTTTAAAGCCCTTAAAATGGTGCCTGGCACAAAGTAGATAGTATATATAAATATTTGTTAAATTGGATAAAGAAATAGAATCCTGTTTTGCCTACCAAGGTTCTTGCGTTTATAATGCTCTTCCTCTTTTGGATATTCAGGAGTGAGGGAATATTTTACATTTAGTCTTGGCTTAAAAAGACTAAATGTAAAAATTCCCCTTCAGAACGTTCCCAATTTTATAACTAAAGGTTGTGGTTGGAAGTGTTAGAGCCATGAAGTCTCACAGGTGTTCCACTAAGGAAAGAATACAGGAAAATGCTTGTTTCCTACCACAGCTTCTTCCCTTGGAGAAAAAAGGCTAAGATTTAAATCTGGTTCTGGTCATTTGAGTTCCTGTGTATTTAAAATTCTTTTGTTCTCTATTCCCTGTATTTGAAGAACAGTATATTATCCTCTTTCTCAATAAAGGAAGACAGACCGCACCCCCGCAGGGATCCACCATTAGAATACAAATAGAGACCCTCCATTAGACTAGGAGTGGAGACCAAGGCAGACCCAATTTTGTCACTACTTGTGTGACCTTGAGAAAATCCCTTAACTGTTCTTTATTTTATTTTATTTTATTTTATTTTATTTTATTTTATTTTATTTTATTTTATTTTTAAGATAAAGTCTTACTCTGTTACCCAGGCTGGAGTGCAGTGGCATGATCATGGCTTATTGTAGCCTCAAACTCCCAGGCTCAAGCAACCCTCCCACTTCAGCCTCCCAAGTAGCTGGTACCGCAGGCGTAGGCCACCACTCCTGGCTAATTTTTTTGTTTTTTGAGATGGAGTCTTGCTGTGTCACCCAGGCTGGAGTGCAGTGGCACGATCTCAGCTCACAGCAACCTCCGTCTCTTGGGCTCAAGCAATTCTCCTGCTTCAGCCTCCTGAGTAGCTGGGATTACAGGAGCCCACCACCACGCCTGTCTAATTTTTGTATTTTTGGTAGAGACGGGTTTTCGCCATGATGGCCAGGCTGGTCTTGAACTCTTGACCTCAGGTGATCCCCCTGCCTCAGCCTCCCAAAGTGCTGGGATTACAGGTGTGAGCCACTGCGCCCCACCTCCGAGCTAATTTTTTAAATTTGTTTGTAGAGATAGGGTCTTGAACTCCTGTGCTAAAGTGATCCTCCTGCCTCAGCCTCCCAGAGTGCAGGAATTACAGGCGTGAGCCACTGTACCCGGCCCTTAACCATTCTAAGACTGTGATTTTAAAAATGTCTTTAACTTTTCTGGTTAATGCTTTTGGTCTTCTTGTAAACATCTAAAAATACCCTTTCTTTGGCTCACCATGATGTTTTCTTCCCAATTCGGTTCAAATGGCTTCAAACACTCTGGTAGAGAATCTTTTAACAAAAGACCACTTGTCTATTTTCTATGTGACTTATTAGTCTATATTGTGCTCTCATAAATTGAGTACTTTTTCTACTGTGGCTCTTTGCTGTGTTGAAAACTCAGCAGTGAGCAGTGGGCTCTGTCAAAGCATAACCATAGTGTGAAGAAAACTGATACATAATTGTGATTCCAAGACAGGTTTTCTAGGATGGCTGGAGTGCATGTGCTTTTCAGTAAAGATAGGGCACCTAAAAGTGATTTAATTTTTATTACTTCAAGTGGATTTTCATATAAATACATTTTTGTTGTTGTTAGACTGCATCTCAATATAGGGGGGTGGTCAGGAGGGGTGGTTTGGGAAATATAGACATCATTCTAAGGCACCAAGCATCCCCACCACCTTCTAACTTCCCAGTGTAACCAAGTGGGCAATTCTGCCTAATCTCTGGAATCATCTTTAAAACAAGCTTTAAAATGAAGTCAGGGCAAAGTTAACAACTGTAAAATTTAGATGGTAGACATGTGTTTTCATTGTACCATTCTTTCAACTTTTCCGTATCTTTGAAATTTTACATTAAAAGTGTTGGAAAGATTTAGGGCCATGAGTTCACAGTGTAAAGATGAGATGAACTCTCCAGGCTTGGGTGTGGGGAAGACTGTGGGGAGGGAATAATGAGTTACTTTCTCTTGCAGTCTACCTAGTTGGCCATTTGAAGGCAGCCTCTCTGCCTTCTTCCTGGAGTCTTACTCTTTCTTTCCCCACTTCAAGGAATGATGTAAGAAATAATATGCTGAATGGAGTCTAACATTAGCAATGAATCAGATGGGCTTCCTTTGCAACTAGTGGGTCTAGGCCAGTCCTCTACCACATTCCACAGCCCTTAGCTAAACACTGCTCACAGACATCTTGCTGTTATTAGGGAAAGGGCTTCTAATACTTTTTTAAAATTTTATAATTTAACTTCAATAGTTTTTGGGAAAACACGTGGTTTCGGTTACATGGATAAGTTCTTTAGTGGTGATTCCCGAGATTTTGGCACGCTTGTCACCCGAGCAGTATACGCTGTACCCAGTGTGTAGTCTTTTACCCTTCACTTCCCTCCCACCCTTCCCCCCAGTCCCCAAAGTCCATTATATCATTCTTATGCCTTTGTGTCCTCATAGCTTAGCTCCCACTTATAAGTGACAACATATGATATTTGCTTTTCCATTCCTGAGTTATTTCACTTAGAATAATGGTTTCCAACTCCATCCAGGTTGCTGCAAATGCCATTATTTCATTTCTTTATATGGCTGAGTAGTATTTCATTGTATATCACATTTTCTTGTAGAATATATATATATAATTACGTATATATACAATCACATTTTCTTTATCCACTCATTAGTTGATGGGAATTTAGGCTGGTTCCATATTTTTGCAATTGTGAATTGTGCCGCTATAAGCATGCATATGCAAGTGTCTTTTTCATATAATGACTTCTTTTCCTCTGGGTAGATACCCAGTATTGGGATTGCTGGATCAAATGGTTGTTCTACTTTTAGTTCTTTAAGGAATTTCCATATTGTTTTCCATAGTGGTTGTACTAGTTTACATTCCCACCAGCAGTGTAAAAGTGTTCTCTTTTCACCACATTCATGCCAACATCTATTATTTTTTGATTTTTTAATTATGGTCATTCTTGCAGGAGTAAGGTGGTATCTCATTGTGGTTTTAATTTGCATTTCCCTGATAGTGATGTTGAGCATTTTTTTCATATGTTTGTTGGCCATTAGTATATCTTCTTTTGAGAATTGTCTATTCATGCCTTTTGCCCATTTTTGATGTTTTTTTTTTTTTCTGATTTGTTTGAGTTCCTTGTAGATTCTGGATATTAGTCCTTCGTTGGGTGCAGGAACTTTTTAGTTTAATTAGGTCCCATCTATTTATTTTTGTTTTTGTTGCATTTGCTTTTAGGTTCTTGGTCATTAACTCTGACTAAGCCAATGTCTAGAAGAGTTTTTCCAATGTTATAGTCTAGAATTTTTATGGTTTCAGGTCTTAAAGTCTTTGATCCATCGTGAGTTAATTTTTTTTATAAGGTGAGAGATGAGGATCCAGTTTCATTCTTCTACATGTGTCTTGCCAATTATCCCAGCACCATTTGTTGAATAGGGTGTCTTTCTCTACGTTATGTTTTTGTTTGCTTTGTCAAAGATCAATTGACTGTAAGTATTTGGCTTTATTTCTGGGTTTTCTATTCTGTTCCATTGGTCTACATGCCTGCTTTTATACCAGTACCATACTGTTTTGGTAACTATAGCCTTGAACTATAGTTTGAAGCCAGGTAATATGATACCTCCAGATTTATTTTTTGCTTAGGCTTACTTTGGCTATGCAGGCTGTTTTTTGGTGCCATATGAGTTTTAGGATTGTTTTTTCTAGTTCTGTGAAGAATGATGATGGTATTTTAATGGCAATTGCATTGAATTTGTAGATCACTTTTGGCAGTATGGTCATTTTCACAATATTGATTCCTCTCATCCATGAGCATGGAATGTGTTTCCATTTGTTTGTGCTGTTGATGATTTCTTTTAGGAGTGTTTTGTAGTTTTTCTTGTAGAGATCTTTCACCTCCTTGGTTAGGTGTATTCCTAAGTATTTTATTTTTTGCAGCTGTTGTAAAAGGGATTGAGTTCTTTATTTGATTCTCAGCTTAGTTGTTGTTCATATATAGCAGTGCTACTGACTTGTGTACATTGATTTTGTAGCCTGAAACTTCACTGAATTCATTTATTGAATTTAGGAGCTTTTTGGATGAGTCTTTAGGGTTTTCTGGGTATATGATCATATCGTTGATAGGCAGACAGTTTAACTTCCTCTTTACTGATTTGGATGCTCTTTATTTTTTTCTCTTGTCCGATTGCTCTGGCTAGGACTTCCAGTACTATGTTGTAAAAAAGTGGTGAAAATGGGCATCCTTGTCTTGTTTCAGTTCTCAGGGGGAATGCTTTCAACTTTTCTCTGTTCAGTATAATGTTGGCTGTGGGTTTGTTATGGATGGCTTTTATTACCCCGAGGTATGTCCCTTCTATGTCAGCTTTGCTGAGGGTTTTAATCATAAATGGATGCTGGATTTTGTCAAATGCTTTTTCTGGGTCTATTGAGATGATCATATGATTTTTGTTTTTAATTCTGATTATGTGATGTATTACATTTATTTATTGACTTGCATACGTTAAACCATCCCTGCATCCCTGAAACCCACTTGACCATGGTGGATTATCTTTCTGATATGCTGTTGGATTTGGTTAGCTAGTATTTTGTTGAGGATTTTTGCATCTATGTTCATTAAGGACATTGATCTGTAGTTTTCTTTTTTTTTTGTTTGTCCTTTCCTGGTTTTGGTATTAGGGTGATACTGGTTTCATAGAATGATTTAGGGAGGATTCCTTCTTTCTCTATCTTTTGGAATCATTTCAGTAAGATTAGTACCAGTTCTTCTTTGAATGTCTGATAGAATTCAGCTGTGAATCCATCTGGCTCTGGACTTTTTTTGTTGGGATTTATTTCTGTTTCAATGTCGCTACTTTTAATTGATCTGTTCAGAGATTCTATTTCTTCCTGATTTAATCTAGAAGGGTTGTATATTTCTAGAAATTTATCCATCTCCTCAAGGTTTTCTAGTTTGTGCATGTAAAGGTGTTCATAGTAACCATGGACGTTCTTTTGTATTTCTGTATGATAAGTTGTAATATCTCCTGTTTTGTTTCTAATTGACCTTATTTGGATCTTCTCTCTTCTTGGTTAATCTCACTAATAATCTATTAATTTTGTTTATCTTTTCAAAGACCAGCTTTTTTGTTTCATTTATCTTTTGTATATTTTTGTTTAAATTTCATTTAGTTCTGCTCTGATATTTGTTATTTCTTTTCTTCTGCTAAGTTTGGGTTTGGTTTGTTCTTGTTTCTCTAGTTCCTTGAGGTGTGACCTTAGATTGTCTATTTGTGCTCTTTCAGACTTTTCGATGTAGACATTTAATGCTATGAACTTTCCTCTTAGCATTGCTTTTGCTATATCCCAGAGGTTTTAATAGTTTATGTCACTATTATTGTTCAGATCAAATAACTTTTTAAATTTCCATCTTGATTTTGTTGTTGACCTCAAGATCATTAAGAGCAGGTTATTTAATTTCCATGTATTTGTGTAGTTTCGAGGGTTCCTTTTGGAGTTAATTTCCAGTTTTATTCCACTGTGATCTGAGAGGATATTAGATATAATTTTGATTTTCTTAAATGTATTGAGACTTGTTTTGTCACCTATCATGGTCTATCTTGGACAGTGTTCCATGTGCTGAGGAAAAGAATGTATATTCTGCAGTTGCTGGGTAGAATGTTCTGTAAATATCTGCTATGTCCATTTGTTCTAGGGGATAGTTTAAGTCCATTGTTTCTTTGTTGACTTTCTGTCTTGATGACCTGTTTAGTGCTGTCTGTCAGTGGAGTATTGAATTCCCCTACTATTATTGTGTTGCCATCTCATTTCTTAAGTCTAGTAGTAATTGTTTTATGAATTTGGGAGCTCCAATGTTAAGTGCATATATATTTAGGATTGTGATATTTTCCTGTTGGACTGATCCTTTTATTATTATACAATGCCCACTTTCTCTCTTTTTTTGTTGTTTTAAAGTCTCTTTTGTCTGATGTAAGAATAGCTACTCATGCTTGCTTTTGGTTTCCAGTTGGATGGAATGTATTTTTCCACCCCTTTGCCTTAAGTTTATGAGTCTTTATGTGTTAGGTGGGTCTCTTGAAGACAGCAGATACTTGGTTGGTGGATTTTTATCCATTCTGCCATTCTGTATCTTTTAAGTGTAGCATTTAGGCCATTTACATTCAATATTAGTATTAAGATGTGAGGCACTTTTCTATTCATTATGCTAGTTGTTGCCTAAATACCTTTTTCCCCCATTGCGTGTGTGTTTGTGTGTGTGTGTGTGTGTGTGTGTGTGTTTTGTAGGCCCTGTGAGATTTATGTTTTAAGAAGGTTCTATTTTGGTGTATTTCAAGGTTTTGTTTCAAGATTTAGAACTCCTTTTAGCATTTGTTGTAGTGCTGGTTTGGCACTGGTGAATTCTCTCAGCATTTGTTTGTCTGAAAAAGATTTTTTCTCGTCTTCATTTATGAAGCTTAGTTTTTCTGGATACAAAATTCTTGGCTGACAATCATTTTGTTTCAGGGGGCTAAAATATAGGACCCTAATCCCTTCTGGCTTTTAAGGTTTCTGCTGAGAAATCACTGTTAATCTGATAGGTTTTCCTTTATAGGTTACCTGATCCTTTTGTCTCACTGCTCTTAAGATTCTTCTTTCATCTTGACTTTAGATAACCTGATGACTGTGTGCCTAGGTGATGATCTTTTTTGTGATGCATTTTCCAGGTGTTCTTTGAGTTTCTTTTATTTGGATATCTAGATCTCTAGCAACACCAGGGAAGTTTTTCTCAATTATTTCCTCAAATAAGTTTTCCAGACTTTTAGATTTCTCTTCTTTCTCAAGAACACCAATTATTCTTAGGTTTGGCCATTTATCATAATCTCGCATTTCTTGGAGGCTTGTTCATTTTTTAAAAAATATTTTTTCTTTGTCTCTGTCAGATTGAGTTAATTTGAAAGCCCTGTCTTTGAGCTCTTTATTTCTTTCTTCTACTTGTTCTATTGTTGAAACTTTCCGGTGCATTTTGTATTTCTCTAAGTGTCTTTCATTTCCAGAAATTGTGATTGTTTTTTCCTTATGACATTTATTTCTCTGGAGAATTTTTCATCCATATCTTGTATTGTTTTTTAGATTTCTTTAAGTTGGTTTTCAAGTTTCTCTGGTATATCCTTGAGTAGCTTAATAATCAACCTTCTGAATTCTTTTTCTGGCAATTCAGAGATTTCGTCTTGGTTTGGATCCATTGCTAGGGAGCTAGTGTGATCTTTTGGGAGTGTTATAGAACCCTGTTTTGTCATATTACCAGAATTACTTTTCTGGTTTCTTCTCATTTGGGTAGACTATTTTGGTGGAAAGATCTAGAACTCAAGGCCTGCTGTTCAGATTCTTTTGTGCCATGGGGTCATCCCTTGATGTGGGACACTCCCACTTTCCCGTGGGACGGAGCTTCCTGAGAGCTGGACTGCAGTGATTGTTATTGTTCTTCTGGGCCTATCCACTCAGCGGGTCCACCAGGCTCTAGGCTGATGCTGGAGAATGTCTGCAAGAGTCTCATGATGTGATTCATCTTCAGGTCTCCAAACCATGGATACCAGCACCTGCTCTGGTGGAGGAGGCAGGGAGTGAAATAGACTGTGAGAGTCCTTGGTTGTAGATATGCTTAGTGTGCTGGCTTTCTTGAATGCTGGTTATGCCAGCAGTGAAGTTGTCACGTGGACAGACTCAGGACCTCTGGTTAGCCAGGATGTTGCAGACAGTGGAATTAGCTGTTTTCTCCTTCCTGGGAACAGGGTTATTCTGTAATGAGTTGCTATAATGGCCTGAGTTGGTTGGCCTCTAGCCAGGAGGTGGTGGTTTCAAGAGAACACCAGCTGTGGTAGTAGAAGGGGGCTATAAGCTTGTCTTAAGTTGGCCAGGATAAGTATTCAGGCTTCTTGGATGATGGGTGAGGCCATAAAGCTCCCAAGAATTTATGTCTTTTGTAATCAGTTATCAGGGTGGGTAGAGAAATACCGTGGTGGCATTGGGCAGGGATAGGTGGGTCTAGGCTCAGACTCTCCTTGGGTAGGGCTTGCCACTGCCATTGTGCAGGATGAGGGGGTGGTTCTCAGGCCAATGGGGTTACGTTCCAGAAGGGATTATGGCTGCCTCTGCTGTGTCATCTAGTTCACCAGGGAAGTGGGAGATAGCTGGTAGTGAGAGGCCTCCCCAGCTCCCATGTAGTTGGTGAGGCTGGTCTCACTCCTGTGTGCCCCACTCAGCCCTTGCCCCAGGCTGTAAACTTCCCCACTAAGAAAGTAAGCACAAGTTTGAGGTCTTACCCCTCCACGTCTGCCCACATCGTTGGTGGCAGCTCCTGCACTCATATCTGCAGCAGTTCCCATTCACCCACTGGATTCTGCTCAATAAAATTCGTGCCTAGTAAAAATTATTACAAATTTCAGTTGGAAGCTTCTTTCACTCTGTTTAAGCCCTCCCTAATTCTGCTGTCTGCCTTCCCTGAGGGCTCCTGTGAGATGTAGTCGGGGATAGCTTTCCTGGGCTTGAGCTGGAGACTGGGAATGCCTATAAGGCTCTTCCCACTGTTGCTTCTACTTTTGTATTTTCTGTGGCTCCCTAAATGTTTCAGCTCTAGGTAGGGTTAAATCCTTCTTCTGTGATCTGGATTTTCAGATTCTCCAGTGGGGATGTGTGTTCAGAGGTAAGTTTTCCCCCTTTCACACATTGAGAACTCACAATTTTTTGCCTGTCTTGCAGAATTTGCAGTGGTGTGCTGCTTCTTTCAAAGGATTTGTAAATTCTTTTGGCTTGCCTGGCATGTTCCTGTGGTGGTCCTTGGAGCAAAAGTCCATGGTGAGTCTCCACACTATTCTGTCTGTCCAAGTGGGAGCTGCATGTTAGCCCTGTCTCCTATCCACCATCTTCCTCCAGATCTACTTGTTTTTTTTTAGTGACTAATAAACACCTTTGTGGTGATTAAAAAAAATGAGATTTATTAATTTATAAATGGATGATGCGTTTATCTTCACTTATCTGAGTTAACAGATCAGACAAAGATTTGCAAAATGATCATTGATGTATTACATTTTTGGTTATTACTTTTTCTGACAATTTTTTTTTTTTTTTTTTGAGATGAGTCTTTTTCTGTCACCCAGGCTGGAGTGCAGTGGCACGATCTTGGCTTACCATAGCCTCTGCCTCCCAGGCTCAAGTGATCTTCCCAACTCAGCCTCCTGAGTAGCTTGGACTACAGCTGTGTGCCACCAAGCCTGGCTTTTTTTTTTTTTTTTTGTAGAGACAGGATTTTGCCATGTTTTCCAGGCTGGTCTCAAACTCCTGGGCTCAAGTGATCTGCCCACTTCAGCCTCCCCAAGTGCTGGGTTTATAGGTATGAGCCACCGTGGATGGCCTCTGACACTTGTTTTTAACTGACCTTTTCCTTTTGGTTGTGCTTTTGAATCCTGTTCTCTCTCTCTCCCCTTAACACTTACAGGCTCCATCGGGTGGTCAATGGTCCTCCCCGTCCTGTGGCTGTTTTGAGATGTTACTCCAATTAACTTTTTCTAATCTTTGGATTCTTCTGTTTAACTAGCTGTGCTGGTTTCACAGTCCTTGGGGACAAATTACAAAAGGCTCTTCATAACCCATATTTACATGACTTCCTAGTGTCACTGTAAAGCCCCCACTGCCGAGCCTCGCCCAGGTGTCTATGTACTTTCAGGCCCTGCACACCCCCCGACACACTCTCCACCCTCTAATTCAGCATGTCTTCTTGTTCTCTCCAGCAGGGATACTGGAAAGTTCCTTTTCTTTCCCCTTCCTCTCCAAAGCCCTCCCAGCTTCAAATGCTGCAATAGGTGTTGCTACTCTGTACTGCCCGAGCACCCTATCCCCACCTCTTCATTGCACTGCACTGTGATTCTCTACTCATACTTCCAAATCCAGCACTGCCCAGTAAGCTTCAAGGGGATCATGTCCTATTCACCCCTGTAACCACAGGGTCTGCCACAGAGATAGCAGGTGCTCTGTAAGTATCTGTGGCATGAATAATAGTGAAAGAACAAATGAATGAAACAGGGAGAGTGGAAAGGGGAGAGGTGTTGTTTTTAATTACAGCTTTATTCAGATGTAATTTACCCTTGCAAAGTATATAACTCAGTGGTTTTCATTATCACTTATTTTTGGATCATCCAATTTTAAAGATTACCTTAATTATTGAATTGAAAATTTACAAAAACTTGGTTTATTCTGAAAGACTTTATTAAAAGCGTTTCTATTGTAAGAACACAAAATATTTTAAGCCAGTAACAACATTTAAATTAAAAAGATATAAACATGTCAAAGGAATGAAACCTAGATGTTTTATTATGTGTGAATTATGAGCGCTTACCTGGCCTTGTGTATAACGTATAAACCTTCACCTGTTGCATGTCATTCAGTCTCTGCAGCAACATTCCTTGTGTCCATGTGGGTGTTTCTATGTGTGACTGTGAATATCTGTATGTAAATGGCTTGTCTCTTGGGTGCATTTGTGGGGGTGGGTATCCACCGCTATTATCATTGCTTTCTTTTTCAGAAAGTGTTTCCAATCTTTGCTTCATTTTACTCAACAGAAATGAGGAGGTTGGTTTATATTTCATGTCTTTTCTCTTTCAGATACAGCTGGTCATGCCACAGATAGTGAAGAAGAATAAAACTGTGAAAAATAAAGGATGTATTTAGAATGCCACATTCTGCTGAAAATCAAACTGACAGACACTAGGGCAGGCCCTGAGTTAAGGTGGATACAAAGGAACCCAAGGCATGCCTCTCCCAGCACCAGACTTCTGAACAGGCTGGGAGAGTGAGGCATAAACACATGAAATTTTAATACCAGACAGACATAGATAAGTATAAAACATGAGATAATAAAAAACAGGGTAATGGCTTTCAAGTGATTCAAGATATGTGACCTTATTTTCCTAACTATAAATTATAATTGATTGTCAGACAAGCAGATGCACTTATGAAAAGTAGAAACAAAAGATCTGACCCTGGGGCAATGTCAGAAGTTCTTGGGCACGTGACTGCTGTAGGTGTTAAGCTGAGCACTCGGAGGTCAACGGAAAAAGTAAGCACTGCAAACTGGAGTTTTTGGAAAGTCTTCACTTATTCCATGGAGAGGCAAAGCTGACCGTATCTGGTTAGGTGGAGACAAGGGCACTGCAGGACCTAAGGAGAGCATAAGGCAAGTTTGGAGAAGAGAGGACCTGTGGTGGATGTGGAACTTAAGTAGGAACATGCCTGGGGAGAAGAATTAGGATGATGACATTACAGAGGGCCACACTAATGCTCAGAGAAAACTAAAGACATTCTTCAGAAAGACACAAGAAACTCCTATGTCAGCAATCAGAAATTATGGAAAAATTGAGAAGGCCCCCAGGAATGGTGCTCCATGAAGACTTACATGGCAGCAGTATGGGTTGCAGGCTGGTTTGGAGGTGTTAGAACCTTTAGGCAGGAGAGGGTGAGGTGTGGGTGAAAAGAGCTGAGGAGCATTTCAAGAGAAACGTTATCAGAAAAGGACTCTGCTTCAACAGGAGAGTGCAGGTGACACCGAATTCCACATCAGACCTGTGGACACTTGAGGTAATGGCAGGACCGTCCTGGTAGGAGGCAGGGGACCTGGCAGAGAGGGGAAGCTGGAGGTATGAGGCCTGGAAGGAAAGTACACAGTTACGTGCACAGTGAAGGGAAGGAAGAGGGCTGAGGACAGAATCCTGGCACAGGCAAAGAAGTCAGTGAAGAAAGATCTAATGGGAAGGGACTGGGTGGCCTGTTTCAGCAGGAGCCAAAAGCCAGAGGTTTCTGGAGCAGAGCTAAGGGAGGAGGAGGACTCAGAAAACAAGGAGGAATTGGCTTCCTTGTGTATTTTTTTGTTTTTGAGACAGGATCTTGTTCTGTCACCCAGGCTGGAGTGCAGTGGCACAATCACAGCTCACTGCAGCCTTAACTTCATGGGCTCAAGCAATCATCCTACCTCAGCTTCCTGAGTAGTTGGGAGTACAGGTGTACGCCACCATGCCCAGCTATTGTTTTTTTTTTTTTTCCTGTAAAGATGGGGTCTCACTATGTTGCCCAGGCTGGTCTTGATCTCCTGGGCTCAAGCCATCTTCCTGACTCGGCCTCCCAAAGTGCTGGGATTACAGAAATGAGCCACTGTGCCCTGCTCTCCTTGTGAATTTTAGGAGCATAGGTTCAAGAGACTCTGGGTGAAAGTATGTTTTACAAAGAGGAAAGGCAGTGAAGAAACAGGGGAAGCAGGCTTACATCAACTGTTCTGGAATGAAGAGCTGTGCATAGGCAGAGGGGAGAGAGCTGCTATACAGGAGAGAGGATCAATGAAGCAGCGATATGTCTGAAGACCCAAAAAGGTGGATTAGCTGGGCATGAAGAGAGATTGAGGCAACAGGAGTGGAGGATGGCATGTTAGGAGAGGCAGAGAAGCTTTACAGCCGCTACTTGCAAGGAGGATGTAACAGCGAGGAGGGAGAGACCAAAGCGCAGCCTCAACTCTCCCTGACGGGGGTCTGTGTCCCTCTGCTCCAGTGTTTTCCTCACTCTCTGGCCCAGCCTTCCAGGATCCTGCCTAAGGTCCTGCTTCCTAACACAGAGGCTGCCATCCACAGTCTGGCTGTGACTGGAGGGAGGGGAACACCCACAGGTCAGAAACAGCCCCAGAGAGGAAGCTGAGCACAACATGAGATAGGAAGGAGAGAAGGAGGAAAGAATGAGGAAGACCGAAGACGAACTGACGTGAAGAGGGAAGCTTAAGGAACTTGTGAAGGTCTCAATTCTCAGCAAAGTCAGAGCAGACAAAGGGGACGACCAGAACAGAACAATCGAGGTATGGCCCTCTGATGGGAGGGTCACTGGAGGTGACTATGAAGGCACAGGAGCAGCATGACATCTTCTGAGGTTCTGTGCACTGGCAGAGGTGGCTGCTCAGGAAACACTGCGAGGCTCTCTAGGAGACAGGTGGCAAGACTCACCCAAACAGCCTTAGCAAAGCACGTATGATGGAAGGCAAAAGGCTGATGGATGTCAAGGTACTAACAGAGAAGAGCACAACACAGCCTATAGGTTCCAGGTGTGGTTAAAAAAGAGGCAAGGCAGGTCAGAAGTAGCGAAAATGAGAGGTCAAGAGACTAAGAGGTGAGAAAGGCAGCAAAAACCTGGCATGGGGGAAGGGAGGGTGGAGAATGGTTGGGAAGGGTAGGAGACAGTTTTAGAGTCTGCAATCCTAGTAGAATGGGTGGGAGTGGAGGTGTTAGAAAAATTGTGAGGATAGGACCCTAGAAGCAACAAAAACATGGATGTTGATGTCCCAGAGGGTGACAAAAGGAACTAAAGTGAAGACCCCTGGGGGCCATGTAGTAAAGTCCTTGAGGAAGATGAGGGTGACCTAGAGGCAGTTAGACGCTAGAGAATGGGTTATGTAAGGGCACCGACTTCTTTTACAATGACATCTGTCTTATTTGAGAAGGCTACATGTCTGAATGCATGAACACTACATGCTTTCAGTACCTCTTCAGAAGTCCTGAGATTTAAAGATGGCATAATCACTTCCAACATCCCATTCCATACTCTGGAAGAAGTAGACCATGATGCTTTCCAGCAGTAAGCCACTCAACACGGCCAAGAAGGAGAGCTTACGGTTGATGTTTAGGGTCACTGGAAAGGAGAAGGCAGCCAATAAGTTCAGAATTAATGAAACGATATTGACATGTAAATTTTCGGGTAGTATGAATTGTTTTGTAAAGCTGTTTTTGGAAAAATCAATGTTTGTTCTTATTAATCTATGCTGTTACCTTCTCCCACTTTTCCATCTACACATTTTTAGAGAACCAAAGCCTCTACTTACAACAAAACACTGAGCCCCTTCTCCTCATATCAAGCGGCAGATTCCCGTGAATATCAAAGGAGAAAACAAAAAATTCTAACGCTATAAGAGAATAACGACAACAACAACAAAATGATACTTTCAGTGTCACAGTTTGCAAGATGACAAGCATTCTGATAAAAAGTATCAGGTAATAAGTTCATTTAAAATAGGACTTCGGCCAGGCACAGCGGCTCATGCTTGTTCCCAGCACTTTGGGATGCCAAGGTGGACAGACTGCTCGAGCCCAGGAGTTCAAGACCAGGCTGGCAACATGTCGAAACCCTGTCTCTACAAAAATTTAGCAGGGTGTGGTGGCATATACCTGTGGCCAGCTTTTCAGGAGGCTGAGTTGGGAGGATCACTTGACCTCAGGAAGTAGAGGCTGTAGTGAGTTCTGATCACATCACTGCACTCTAGCCTGGGTGACCAAGTGACACCCTATCTCAAAAAAATAAATAAAATAAAAATAAATAAAATAGCACTATGTAAAATATATGGGAAAAATGAAGACACACAGGGCTGCTCTTCCTGATATAGTAGAAATTGTCCTGGATTGAGAGGCAGATACTCAGCATTCTCTCCTGACTTGATAACTGCCCAGCCATGTAACGTCGGACAAGCCACTTAACCCTCAGAGCCCCAGGAGCTCATTCATAAAATCAAATAATGGCAGTTCTACTAACCTCACAGGACAGAGATGATGCATATGAGAGCATTTTGAAAACTATAAAGTACTATATGGTTAAATGTAACAAACACTGAGTACCTGCTATGTATAAGGTGCTATAGAAGTGTTAGGTATTATTACTATGCGATGAAGAATTCCAGTGTTCAACAGGTTATATAAAAACTGCACCCCAGAAACAAGGCTTTAAGCTTTTTATGGGTTGAAAACTGAGAAGGCAGAATAAACACATAAACATACCTCTAATTGCCTGAAAATTTGATGTAAGAACAAATACTTTAATGAGTTTGAGGCACACAGATGTGTAGTCATGTTCCCAAATGACAGCTGGAATCAGCAAGAGTTTTCCGTAGCTAGATAATAATAATGCTTTCAGCAGCAAAATGAAGTTGGGCTTTTTTTTTGCCGTCATGGGCCGTTCTACCCACAGGAAGGTAAAAATGCCAATAAAATAGGCAGTTTGTTCTAAAGAAGAAATGGAAAATAAAAGTATGAATGTCCCCATCCAAAATATATCCCCTTAAAAACAAATAAACCACCATTCTAAAATACAGCTTATCAGCTGACTTCATAAGAAATACTTTCTCAAGATCACAATCTCTTTTTCTTCTTCTTTTTGTTTGTGTGTTGTTTTTTTTTTTTAAATAAACCCCTGGCTTTTGTATTAGATCCTGCTGGTATAATTTCAGAAACATTATCCACTGAAGAAAAAGTAACTCCATTAGAATTGTAATCATCAACTTTCTGAAGTTCCTTGAAGGAAGTAAGATTCTGCTTAAACATCTTCAGTGTAAGAGATCTCCAAAGAATAAAACAGGAGAATGCAGGCTTTTCAGTCTGAAAGATGGGACCTATCGTAAGAATGGGATAACACAGGAAGACATTTTTCTCTGTGCATTCTTCCACTATTTAAGTGCCTATTATCCACATGATTTTTTAATATTGTTAACTGAGACTTCCTTTACTCATTTTAACAACATTTTAAAATGCAATTCCTTACACTTCCAGAAAGTATTCATAGGACAGAGTCCAGATTAACAGCAGCAATAGTTCCACTGTGTCCTATGGTCAGAACACAGCACAATCTGTTCAGCTTCTATTAACTAGGAATTTAACATCTCTTTTAACTGTGCTGTAATTTTTATTAGGATTGTTAGTCATCCGATTACCCAACTGTATCCATTCTGAGTGGCCAGTCCCTTATTTTATTTTTTCCCATATAAGCTATGTTATTAGCAGTTTAGGTTTCTGCAGAATCAGGTTTCTCTGGACACATGTATTATATTACAGCAGAAACAACTATCCTCTTTTTTAAACTTAATAAAGCCAAACTAAAGAGGTTCCAAATGTAGGTAATTAGGATCAATAAAAATAATTTAGGGGCTGGGCATGGTGGCTCATGCCTGTAATCCCAGCACTTTGGGAGGCCGAGGCAGGCGGATCACAAGGTCAGGAGATTGAGATCATCCTGGCTAACACGGTGAAACCCCGTCTCTACTAAAAATACAAAAAACAATTAGCCGGGAGTGGTGGCAGGCGCCTGTAGTCCCAGCTACTCGGGAGGCTGACGCAGGAGAATGGCGTGAACCCGGGAGGCGGAGCTTGCAGTGAGCCGAGATTGTGCCACTGCACTCCAGTCTGGGCGACAGAGCGAGACTCCGTCTCAAAAAAAAAAAAAAAAAAATTAGGATGGTTAACCTCCATGAAATATGATGTATTCTTCAAGGGAGACATGCTATCTCCCTTCAAAATAACTAAAAGACTTGTCAGCTACAAGAATGTACTCAGGTAGATTGTAAAGCTTGGATTTTGGATAAAAATAACAATAAATAATTCCTTGAATGAATAAATAGTGAAAGAATAGCGAATAACAAGAACCATCTAACAATGGTGGGTTGACTCCTGTCACTGGAGACACTCAAAGCTACAGCATCTCTCAGGAGTCTAGACAGAAAGATTTCTTGCGCCACACAGGCTAGACTAGATAACCTCCACATCTTTTAAATTTAGGATTTACGAGATTTATGGAACTACACCAGCCCTCAGGCTCTCATCAATCAGGTCAGTTCAGAAGGAGCTGCTACCTACGTATAGAATACTCCAGTGTGGAAAACACTGAAGGGGGTCGGGAGACTTTCCTCAGTTTCAGCACTAGTGACCCACTGTGAGACTTCGGGAAAATCTATGCATCTATGTTTCTGCAGCTATAGATGGGGGAACCCCTAACCTACCTACCTCAGAGGATGATTGTGAAAATTAAATAATTCCTGTAAAAGCAGTTTTTAAATTATAAAATGCTTTATTTATGTAAGATATTCTTTTAGTTTTTTGAGACAGAGTCTGTCTTGGTCATCCAGGCAAAAGTGCAGTGGCATGAACATGACTCACTGCAGCTTTGACCTCCTGGGCTCAAGCGATCCTCCTGTCTCTGCCCCTCAAGTAGCTAGGACTACAGGCACATGCCACCATGCCCAGCTAATTTTTGTATTTTTTGTAGAGACAGAATATTGCCATGTTGCCCAGGCTGGTTTCCAACTTCCGAGCTCAAGTAATCCACCTGTCTTGGCCTCCCAAAGTGCTGGGATTACAGGTGTGAGGTACCACGCCCGGCCAAGATATTCTTTTGGACTATACAGTCTAATTAGGGATTAGACTAAGACACATAAAAAAGTTAAGTAATAGTAGAAAGAAACTTCTGATTAAGCATCAAAATATCTACTACAGAGTAGTTGCTATAAGAATTCCAACCCATTTAAAAACAAGCCTGGTTTTTAATAGTATATACAAAATATGGACATATAACAGTTTATCTTTAGAAATTTTAAGAAGGGCCAGGAACAGTGGCTGATGCCTGCAGTCTCAGCACTTTGGGAGGCCCATATGGGAGGACTGTTTGAGCCCAGGAGTTCAAGACCAACCTGGACAACAGAGTAAGATACTGCCTTTACATAAATTTTTTTTTTTAAATTAGCCAGGCACAGTAGCATGTACCTGTAGTTCCAGCTACTCAGGAGACGGAGGCAGGGGGATCCCTTGAGCCCAGGAGCTCCAGGCTGCAGTGAGCTATGACTGTGCCACTGCACCCTAGCCTCGGTGACAGAGCAAGACCTTCACTCTTAAAAAAATAAAAATTAAAAAAAATTTTTAAGAGGCTTTGCTTTAAGGTTTAAAATCATATTAGGTTCTAGTTCTTGGGCTAGATGATGTGCTCAAGGATGTTTTCAGTAGTATTATGTTTCATAAGATAAAAAGGTTAACATATTCTTTTGTATATTTCAAATATTTTAAATTGTTGCAAAGTCCAAATTGTATACAAAATTATCGATAGACTGGACATCATGGCGGTTAAGCTGTCATAAGCCTTAGTAATTACATAATAATGGAGGCGGAGATTTTTCTATGTATTTTCCATGGATATATCTCTAGTACCTAAAGTACCTAAAGTAGTAACTGGCACCTAATAAGTATTTAAAAATATTTCTTAAGGGAATGAATAATAATGAATAGTGAATGAATAATCACCGAGTGTAACTGATGGTGACTTGCTCAAGTTAAGAGTGCGTGGATGAATGTATGCAATCATTCATTCAATCAGCTGAGCAAATATTTATTAAGCACCTGGGCCAGGCACCTAAGTGCTTGAGCTACAACCGTGACTAACACAAAGAGCCCTGACCTCATTCAGTTGACATGTTAGTGGGGAAAGGCACTAACAAAAGATAATAACTTCTGTGATATGTTAAATAGTAAGTACCATAAGAAAAACAAAGTAGAGCCGGAACAGGAGATCAGGAGTGTCAGAGGTACACTTCATTTAGAAAGTGTCATTTTAGCCAACTCTTGAGGGGTATGCAGGAGTCAGACATCTGGGCATCAGGGGGACAGGCATTCCGGGCACAGGAAGAGCCACTTCAAAGGCCTTAAGGTGGAAGCTCATCCAGTGTTTCTGAAGCAAGTTAACTAGATGGGGAGGGTCAGAGTAGACATGGGAGATGACAGCTGTGGATAAAATGAGAGACGCAGTGGGAGGGGCAGATTCCAGTACAAGGCCCACTGTAAAGACTTCAGCTTGCACTCTGAGTGAAACGGGGAGCTACTGTGTTCTAGCACAACAGTGACATGATCTGATTTGGTTGAAAAGGACTACTCTGTGTTGCGTGCAAATACACAGTTGGAGAACTGGGCTAGCAAACAAGGAGGCTACTGTAGTCATGCAGGTGAAGGATGAGAGTGGCCTGCAACAGTGTGGCAGCCGTGGAGGGAATGGAGGGTAGCAGTAGTATAATAGTAGAAGTGTGGCTGGGCGCAGTGGCTCATGCCTGTAATCCCAGCACTTTGGGAGGCAGAGGCGGACGGATCACGAGGTCAGAAGTTCGAGACCAGCCTGACCAACATGGTGAAGCCGTCTCTACTAAAAATACAAAAATTAGCTAAGCATGGTGGCACGTGCCTGTAATCCCAGCTACTCGGGAGGCTAAGGCAGGAGAACTGCTTGAACCCAGGAGGCAGAGGTTGCAGTGAGTCAAGACCGCGCCACTGCACTCCAGCCTGGGCGACAGAGTGAGACTCCGTCTCAAAAAAAAAAAAAAAAAAGTAGAAGTACTTTGAAGGTGGAGCCAATGGGATTTCCTGATGACCTGACTATGGGGTATCAAAGAAAGAGGCATCAGGGATGACTGCAAGGTTTTCTGGTGAATGCAACTAAAAGAATGGAGTTACAACTGAGAAGGAGAAGGCTGTGGTAGAGGCAGAGAGATGAGGAGCTCAATTATGGGTATGGTGATTTATTAGATATCCAAGTGGTGATGTTGAGAAGGCAGAGGGATGCAGAGTCTGGAGGTCTGGAGAAAGGTCTAGATGGACATTTGAGAGTTCTCAGCAGACAGGTTACATGACCAAGAGAGCGAGAGCAGACAGAGAAAAAAAGAGGACAAAAGAAGACACACAGCCCAGAAATGTGATATTGGAGTGGACTGGAGACTTAGTATTACTAAAGTAAGATTTCATTATAATCAAAGAGTTGAGAAGCAGAGAAGCATGGAACTAGCAATAAAATAGTCACAGAAATTAGCTCAACACAATTCTGACACTAGGAAAACAATAACTTATGAAGTGAAATTCTGAAAAGCACTTCCTGAACTTAAGGAATTTTGAGGAGTAGCCAAATTCCCTGCATGCACTCAGATAAGTAACAAGTAACAAAAAATACCAAACCCTATTAAATACACTGCATTAGTATAATGCAATTAGTACAATACATTGGGTAATGTCTGGCAATTATCTCTATTAATAAAGATAGGACTTAGCTAACTTTCAGATTGGATAATCAAAACTTAAACATTAAGAATTTTATTGGCCAGGCACAGTGGCTCACACCTGTAATCCCAGCACTTTGGGAGGCTGAGGTGGGAGGACTGCTTGAGTTCAGGAGTTCAAGACCAGCCTGGGCAACACGGAAAGACCCCCCATCTCAACAAAAAAATACAAAAATTAGCTGGAGGTGGTGCATGGTGTGGTGGTGCATACCTGTGGTTCCAGCTACCTGGGGGGGCCGAGGCAGGAGGATTGCTTGAGCCCAGGAGTTCAGGGCTGCAGTGAGCTGTGACTGTGCCACTGCACTCCAGCCTAGGCAACAGAGTGAGACCCTGTCTTAAAAAATATATAATAATAAAAATAAAAGAATTTTATCAACAATATTGTGCTTCGAAATATTTTATGAAACTTTCTAATCCGATAAGCATAACTACTTCCATACCATATACGTGGTAACAAATTTTTAAAAAGCAGGTGATTCAAACACACTCACCTCGTAGGTTAGTAGTGGTAGAGCTGAAAATTTCATCTTAAGTCCCATATTAACTAGCTCTTCTTACCAACAATTAAGACTACATGTCTTAGTTTTAACCAGATTAGTTAAGTAAGAATAGTTAACTAAGAATGGAAAGCATGGCATCTCCTTACCTAAAGCAGCAATCGCAAACATTCTATAGAAATCCCATTCCTTAGCATATCTGATCAAGTCATCAGGGGCAGTATTCTGGTTGGAATCTTGAAGCTGCCACCACCTCAGGTATGCTTCACAAAGCAAACAAAATATGCAGAGTTTTCCATGGATCTGATAGTCAAAGACATTGCCATTCAATTAGGTAAGGAAACCCAGTTGCACTAGTATCAACAGGTACAGAGTATTTGTGGCATCCCACCTAGTCACTTTTCAAATTCAGGACTGCCCAATTAAGTGGCTAATTGTAGTCATTTTGTAATCAGTGAGTTTTAATCAGCAATGTCCATCAGAAGCACATGGGGAGATTTTTTTCAAAATTTAAATGTCTGAGCCCAGGTCCTGATTGAGAATCTTCATAGTACAACATAGACATCATACTTTGAAACAGTTCTGGGGGGATTCTAATGTGCACCCCTAGTTAAGAATCACTGCTTTAAATAATAGTTCACCTTTCATTATACATTTTTGATTTCTGTCCTTTATACAGAATCAAGCAAAAAACTTATGTGATTCATGTATATGTGGGAACAGCAATAAGAGAATAGACTTAATCTGAAGATTCCATGATATTGAATAAGAAACTATTAGTCTGAACATCAGTTTTTTAAAAATATCTCCAGCTGGATGAGTATGACTCAATATGTTAAAAGAGAACAATTAAAACCTAATTCTTAAAAGTCTGAAATTTTGGCTAAAATAAAAAATACTAGGCAACAAAAATTGGCTTTTTTCTATGTATTCCTCCTTCAGGTTGAACTTTCTCCATCAATATAAAGTGAGGAAGAGCTGGGCACAGTAGCTCATGCCTGTAATCCCAATACTTTGGGAGGCTGAGGTGGGAGGATCACTTGAGGTCAGGAATTCCAGACTAGCCTGGTCAACATGGCGAACCTCATCTCTACTAGAAATACAAAAATTAGCTGGGCTTGGTGATGCGTGCCTGTAATCCCAGCTACTTGGGAGGCTGAGGCAGTAGAACACTTGAACCCAGGAGGTAGAGGCTGCAGTGAGCCGAGATCACGCCACTGCACTTCAGCCTGGGTGACAGAGCAAGACTCCGTCTCAAAAATAAATAAATAAATAAAATAACAGGACCGCCAGTTAAATTTGAGTTTCACACACACCATGAATCCATTTTTATTGTATAAGTATGTTCCATGCAATATTTGGGACATTCTTATACTAAAAAATTAATTCATGGTATATATGAAATTCAAATTTAATTGACTGTCCTGTATGTTATCTGTCAACTCTACCCAAACTATTAAAGAGCTCACAATTCAATAAACTAAAAGTTTATTTTGAAAAATTCAACTTTATAAATCAGGACTTTGATTAAACTGAATGTTATTTACCTTATACATTCCTTTAATAGCAAAGTATAAAATGCAATAAATTATGTTTTAAAAAAACATTTTTCTTTTAATGTTTGCTTAACTCATTTAGGTATAATTCTCTCCCTACCTGGATATGTCTAATTGTATTCTGTTAAAAACCAGTGATGATTGTTTCAATTTACTAGCAGGTAATTCAGATCATGGCTTGTCAGTTTCCTGCCAGTGACCATATTCTTAAACACTCACTAAGCATTGTGCACCTTTCAAAATCAACATCTATTATTTCTAGAAACTTCCAGATATGTTGCAATAAAAGACCCACTCTCACATTAGAATTTCTTTTCCTCTTTTATAATATTCTTTACTTCTGTTTAAAATTCTTATTATTCTTTTAAAATGTAACAGCATCAAATAAAATTAAAAAATGAAATTATCACAACTTACATTTATTTGAGTATTGAAAAGAATATGTCTGTAGGCCTGAGCTTTGCACAATATAGCATTAATCAAGATGATAACAGGATCATACTCGATATATTTGTCTACAGGTTTCTGGCAGGATTTCTGAAATAATACAAGATAATATTAGAACAAGCAAATGTATACTTTCTGAAATCCTCAAGGATTTCAAAACAGCAGAGTCTATTTTGGACACAGATAGCAATATGGCCATATTAGCAATTATTTATATAAACTTCCATTCAGATACAAAATGTTCATCTATATAAGAAAGGGTTTCAGAAAGGACTAAATATAATCTTCTAGGCTAGGAATATTAATATTTTAACGTCATATTCAAGAAGCTAAAAATATATCTAATTTAAAGACTGAGTTTAGGCAGGAAAGTATTCCAGAAGATTTTACTTTCAATCTACAGAGACTCTATGTCCAATTCCACTTTCAATTTGTAGCAATTATTACAAAATAAATATATTTATAATGCACTTTCATTGATAAATTGTTGCCTCTTGGCTAGATGCCCCTGACTTTATGGTTCTTGGCACATGATTTGGAGAAAAGTACTCAGCAGTTACCTTGTCCCCAGAACTACTGAGAGCTGCAAGTAGGTAAAGAATGGGGCATGATCCGAATGATCCTGAGGTGGCCGGTAACAGGGGAAGCCTGGGTTTTTCTCCAGTAACATCAAGGATATGGAAAGAAAATGGTCTTTCTCTGCTAGAGTAGAGACAGACTCTACTGTCTGTACAGTCTGGAGAGTGCTGGGCTGTGCAAGGAACTAGGCTGTGCAGCCTAGCTCTAGGTTCCAGAATCAAGGCTCCCTTGGCTCTTAGCAGTTCACATTAAATGGCTTTATTCCCCCCTGAAGGGTCACCAATTTTGAGTTCAGATTCTCTAGACACATGTGATTACAATGTTACCAAATTCCAACATCACTAGAACATAAAAAACGCAGGTATACACAAACAAGCTCATTAGAAATGTGACCTCTAAAGCAGTACTATTCACAAAAATGCATCAATGCTACCATTCACTTTATAAAACTACAGCAGTCCTCCCGTAGCCACAGTTTTGCTTTCTGCAGTTTGTAACCCGAGGTCAACAGCATTCTGAAAATATGAAATGGAAAAATCCAGAAATAAGCATAAGTTTTAAATTGCATGCTGTCCTGCTCCACTGTCCGGGATGTGAATCATCCCTTTGTCTAGCGTGTCCACGTTGCAGATGCTCCCCGCCTGTTAGTCATCTAGTCGCTGTCCAGGTTAACAGGATTGAGGATTGCAGTACTGCAGTGCTTGTGGTTCAAGTCACCCTTCTTTGACTTAATAATAGCCCCAAAGCATGAGAGTAGTGATGCTGGCAATTTTACAGCCAAAGAGAAGCTGTAAAATCCTTTAAGTGAAAAGGTGAAAGTTCTCAACTAATAAGGAAAAAACCAATCTTATGCTGAGGTTAAGATCTACAGTAAGAATGAATCTTCTACCTGTGCAACTGTAAAGAAAAGAAATTGTGCTAGTTTTGCTGTGGCATTTCAAACTGCAAAAATTAAGGCCACAGTATGTGAGAAGTGCTAAGATGGAAAAGGCAGGGCCAGGTGCCATGGTTCACATCTGTGATACCAGCACTTTGGGAGTCCGAGGTGAGAGGATCGCTTGAAGCCAGAAGTTCGAGCCCATCCTGGGCAACAAAGCAAGACCCTGTCTCGGTCTCTCTCTCTCAAAAAAAAAAAAAAAAAAAAAAAAAAAAAAAAAAAAAATAGGAAAAGTATTACATTTGTGGGTGGAAGGCACGAACAGAAACGTGTTCCGATGGATGGTAATTGGGTTCCATACTATCTGTGGTTTCAGGCACTCACTGTGGGTCCTGGAACATATACCCCAAAGAGAACGGGGACTACTGGAATGGCTACAATTCAAACGCATAACATTTGGAAACTCTGAGAAGATAAAATAGAAGAGTTGCGAGTGTAAAAACCTTCTAGGCTGGCCTTTTAATTACATTAAAGTGCTGGAAGAAAAATGAAGGGCACTGAAGAATACCGACCCTGCAATTCAAATGTAATAAAACATTGGATGTGTTCCCAATTTAAATAGCTTCTCCACTTCATTTGTGTCATTACAAGAATAGGTATGTTTTCCAGTTACCGAGTGATCCAATGAAGGGAGACGTGCTGTTACCTCAAACTTAAATGTGCTTAATCAGGGCCAGGCATGGTGGCTCATGCCTGTAATCCCAGCACTTTTGGGAGTCCGAGGCAGGTGGATCACGAGGTCAGGAAATCGAGACCATCCTGGCTAACATGGTGAAACCCCATCTCTACTAAAAAAAAAATACAAAAAGATTAGGAGGGCGTGGTGGCAGGTGCCTGTAGTCCCAGCAACTACAGGATGAGGCAGGAGAATGGGGCGTGAACCCAGGAGGCGGAGCTTACAGTGAGCTGAGTTCACGCCACTGCACTCCAGCCTGGGCAACACAGCAAGATTCCGTCTCAAAAAAAAAAAAATTCTGCTTAATCAAACTGACGCATAAGGAGTTAATATTTTTGCAGTTCTTTACCTGAGCAGGGAGTAAGCCAGAATCTAAACAGAAGCCCCAGAATCAGAAATTCCATGTCCATGACAAACAGCTGTTTGATAGGTCTCCCTTGGCTACTCACATGGAACACATCTCCTTCCTTTCTACATGCAAGACTGGGACACCAGAGAGGCTGCTTCATGTTAAAATGGAAACCCTAAAAAGTCAGGGGTCCTCTCTCTGTCCTTTAAATATTCTCTAAAACCCGTTTTTGGACAGCATCACAAGTCTAAGGCTGGGGATCTGGACAATACTTGGAAGGAGGTAGGCAGAAACCAGCACCAGGAGACACAGCAGCTGTTATTCCTTTTGCATTCATTTGTTTGACAAATGTCTTTGGAGTGGCTATTACATGTATAACAATCGTTCTCTTTTCTTGGCCATTTTATGGACCAGGAACTTCCAAGGTGCTAGATATTCACCTTCAGCCACAGTTTCTATCCTCAAGGATCTAACAGTTTAGAAGCAGAAGACAAACATGCCTCTATGATATGGTCTCATGACCACAGTCATCAGACTATGTAACATCCAACGGCTACAATGGGATAAGCACAGGGTGATATGAAATCAAACAGAGGAGGCAGCTTCTGGTAGTATGTGATATGCTGTGTGCTTTGCCCATTTCCCTTCTTAGCATTCGGCATGTTTTATAAATGCTGAGAAGTCATTAAAGTTTGCTGGTTCCCTCTCAGTCAGTTTGAAACGCCTAACCTTGTTTTTACTCTAACTCGTTACTTTGAATTTTGTCCTGCTTGTCTCTTTAATCACCTAGCTTTGCTTCTCATGTAAGTAAGACTCTCTCTAGCTGGGAAGGCCGGACAAACTCCAATTGACCTCTTAATTTACAAGACACTAAGGGCTCATTACCCAACCCCCTTCCGTAAGGAGTTGGCCTGGGTAAACAGATAATCAGCATTTCAAAAAAGCCCAATTAACTGATAAGGTACTAACACCAACAATGTATGAAGTTCCCAGGATTTTTCTCAAAGAGATAACAACATAAAACCTTGAGTTCGTGTCCGGCATAGACCCTATATCTAATTATAATGAAGGATTTAGAACCTTGCACCTGGTACCGTTGCTCTTCTTGTAACCATTTGTCTTTTAAGTTGTTTATCTCTCTGTAACCATTTTGCTTCTTTTGATTCTTGCATGTTTTTACTTCTGTAGAATTATTGCATTTGAGTCCCCCTCCCCTTCCTAAACCTAGATATAAAAGTTAATCAAGCCCCTTCCGAGAGAATTTTGAGCATTAGTTGTCTCTTTGGCCGCCGGCTTAATAAAGGACTCTTAATTCGTCTCAAAGTGTGGCGTTCTCTCTAACACCCCTGGGCACAACAAGTTTACACCTCACTTTCCTTGTTCTCCCTCTATTATTTGCTTTTCCCTTAAGTGCTGCTTGCAACTTCCTTTCCCTCTGCCTTCACCTTGAATGTGAAGAGGAAAACTACACACACACACACACACACACACACACACACACACACGCACACACACACACACACACGAAACAAACAAATGTAGACATCCCAAAGCAGACCACTGGGAGTTGTATTTATTCAATTTAGTATATATGTTTCTTTTCTTTTCTTTCCTTTTTGAGACAAGGTCTCACTCTGTCGCCTAGGCCTGGAGTGCAGTGGCAGGATCTTGTCCCACTACAGCCTCTGCTTCCCTGGCTCAAGTGATCCTCCCACCTCAACCTCCTGAGTAGTTGGGGCTACAGGCGCGTGCCACCATGCCCAGCTGATTTTTGTAGTTTAGTATAGATGGGTGGGGGACAGGGGGTGGTCTCACCATGTTGCCCAGGCTGGTCTTGAACTACTGACCTCAAGTGATCTGCGATTTAGCCTCCCACAGTGCTGGGATTATAGGTGTGAATCATCACGCCTGCCCAGATTTAGCAACTATGTTTCCTATGTTTCTTATTTTGGCAAAATTGTTTCATTTACTACTTTATAGGCAAGTATCCTGAAAAGAGAAAAATCTTCCTCTAAAGAATCCCTACAACGCAAGGACCAAGCATACTCTGGGAATTCAGGCTGCTTCCATCACCTGTCTAAACATGGATATGACTTCCTCTGTCCTGCTGTGTTCTCCAATGCCTAATGAATCAGATCTCTTTTAGAATATAAATCGGCCAAACCAATTTTTTTCATAAATATTCCTGCTGTTTCCTTCCTGTCATCTCTAGGAGCATTCCCTTCCCTTCTTTAAGTCTTTAAGCTCCTCAAGGGTAGGGCTGTGTCTTATTCATCTTTGCATCTAGGATCCCAAGGGTGGGAGCCGAATGCTGTAGTGCTGAAGGAAATGGAAACTTAGGAGACTCTTATAGGAGTTTTGTTTTGTTAACATAATAATGAATTTGTTAAATATCTGTGCACTTAAAATAAGCCAAGCCCTATAGCAAA
This sequence comes from Homo sapiens, assembly GCF_000001405.40. Taxonomy (NCBI): domain Eukaryota; kingdom Metazoa; phylum Chordata; class Mammalia; order Primates; family Hominidae; genus Homo; species Homo sapiens. The sequence goes on along the minus strand of NC_000001.11, from coordinate 230,983,439 downwards.
TAAAAAGTACTTTTTTTTTTTTTTTTTGAGACGGAGTCTCACTCTGTCATCCAGGCTGGAGTGCAGTGGCGCAATCTCAGCTTCACTGCAACCTCTGCCTCCCGGGTTCAAGAGATTCTCCTGCCTCAGCCTCCCGAGTAGCTGGGATTACAAGAGTGCGCCACCACGCCTGGCTAATTTTTGTATTTTTAGAGAGATGGGGTTTCACCGTGTTGGTCAGGCTGGTCTTGAACTCCTGACCTCGTGCTCCGCCTGCCTTGGCCTCCCAAAGTACTGGGATTACAGGCATGAGCCACCGTGCTAGGCCGAAAGTACTGTATCTTTAAGCGTACTTATAATAAATTGTGAAGAGCTGAAGCAGCAGGATTGGTTAAAAGCAAGGGACACATGATATATTAGAGGAAAGTCAGAGAAACACAGAAAGGCAAGCTGGGAGGAATGGCAGTGAAGAAACAAGCAGAGCAAAAGGAAAGGAGATTGGGATGAAAAATACACGTGGGCGATCAGGCTGAGGATCTTGCTGACTCCAAGTTCGGCAGGGAAGAGACCAAAGTATATATGAGTAACCACTTAGAAACTCTGGAGATTATGTCACAACACATGGTCTAATGTTTAAAAACTTCTTACTTTTTGTATCTCAGAGGTTGGAGGGCCTTTAAAATAATTCATTGCTTCATGGTTTAATTTTTTAGTCTGGCATCAACAAAATGATTTTCCCTGAGTCGTGCTATTATGGCCTAAAGTTTAGTATGCATTAGCATGATAGCGACAAGGCCATTAGACACTCTGTCTCATTATGGAATGACTGTGGACAATAACGAATCCATAAAGTACTGTGCCACCATTCAATATTCCAAATATAACTCCAAAGTCCATCTCTTGGGAGAAAGAGTATCATGTTAGGGAACAAAGGGGAGGGGGTAAGTGAATGTTGACCTAAACAGCTATCCAATAATTATTTTGCCTTTCCATAAACAAAATAAACACCTGCTGTTTAGCAAAGGGATTTTGTTAGCTTAATGCCAACAAAAAGAGATTTTTTGTATTATTGAAGACTACTAACTAAAATGCATATACAAATACCAGCTTTTCTTCAGACCATATTCAGTTATGTGGTTATCATCTTCCAAACTGACCATTTAATTGGACCAGTCCAAAAGTTATTAAGTTTAGACCACATATAAGATCTTGTTCTCTTCCTCCTACCTGGATGGCCAAGCATATGCTAATCTAAAAACCTGGAAGTGATACATTTATTCAACAGACATTTACTGAGTGGCTACTAAATGTCAGTCGCTGTTCTGGGTGATACAGCTACATTAATGAATAAAACAGAGAGAATGTCTGTCCTTGTGTAGCTTACTTTCCAGTAGGAGAAGACACACAACATTAAGTCAATTATATACAAGATTACAAGAAGATAGGTGCTATAGAGAAAGATAAAGCTGGGAAGCATATCATACTTTTCAATAGGGTAGTCAGAGTAGACTCTCTGAGATGTTTGAAGGAGGTAAGGGAATTAGTCACGCAGATACCTGATAGAAGAGTGCTCCAGGCATTGTGCAAAGGCCTTGAGGAAGGAACCTGCCTGGTCTGAGAAACACCAGGATGCCAGCGGGACTGCCGGTAAAATAAAGAAGGGAAAGAGTAGCAGGAGACTCCATAGGGCCTTATAAGCCAGTTCAGGGATTCAGGCCTTAACTCTGAGATGGAAAATCATCAGAAAGTTTTGGTCAAAGAGATGATATGATCTAAATTACATTTTTAAAGGATCAGTCCCTGGCTACTGTGTGGAGAGAAGACTGAAGAGGTACAAGGATGATGTAGGGAGACCAGATAGGAGTTACAACAATAGTTCAGGTAGACATCATGGTGGCTTGGATGAGGATTGTAGCAGCAGGAGTAGTGAGAAGTAGTGGATTCTGAACATAATTTGAAGACAGAACAGGATTTGCTGAATACCTGAATATGGGATGTGAGAGGAAGAGTAGAAATAGGGATGACACCAAGGTTTCTTGGTCTTAGGAGTTAAAATGGTAAAGTTGCCATTAACTGTGATGGGTATATTTGAGCTGTCTATTGAAATCCAAGTGGAGAAGTCAAGTAGGTAGTTGGACATTTAAGTCTGGAGTTCAGGGAAGAGGTTCAGGGTAGAAATATAAATTTGGAAATTGTCAAAATTTTGACGGTATTTAAAGCCATGAGACAGAATGAGCTCTTCAAGGGAAAGCATGCAGACAGAAAGAGGCACGATGACTATGCGTTGGAATACACCATGATTAAGAGGTAAGGGAGGTGAAGCAAAAGCAGAAAGGAGATTGAGGGGTAACAGCCAGTGAAGTAAGAAGACAATAAGAAGAGCACTGAATCCTGGGAAGCGCACACAGCATTTCAAGGAGGAGGAAGTAATGAGGTAAAATGCTGCTGATCATTAACTGAGAATCGACTACTGGATTTAGCAAAGTGGAAGTGGTGATCTTAACAAGAACAGTTTCTAATGAAATGCGGGTGGGAATGTGACTAAAGCAGGTTCAAGAGAAACTAGGAAAGGAAATAGACAGTACAAACATATCTTAGAAGGTCTGCTTTCTAATTAAGAAGAAAAAGAGCAGAAGCTAAAGGGGGAAGTGGCAGCAAGTGTATTTTGTTGGTGGTGTTGGTTTTTTTTTTTTTTTTGATGGAAGAAGTAACAGTATGCATGCTGGTGGGAATGATCCAGCAGAAGGCAGAAGAAGACAGTACAGTAAAGAAATAACAAATGCTAGTATTGGGTTTATGTTGTTGCAAACCTGGTGGAAGTTCTCTTCTGTTTTCGCAGTGGCTCATGCCTGTAACCCCAGCACTTTGGGAGGCCGAGGTGGGTGGATCATTTGAGGTCAGTTCAAGACCAGCCTGGTCAACATGGTGAAACCTGGTCTCTACTAAAAATACAAAAATTAGCCCGGCGTGGTGGTGCAGGCCTGTAATCCCAGCTACTTGGGAGGCTGAGGCAGGAGAATTGCTTGAACTTGGGAGGCAGAGGTTTTAGTGAGCTGAGAGTGCCCCACTGCACTCCAGCCTGGGTGACAGAGGGAAACTCTATCTCAAAAAGAAAGAAAGAAAGAAAAAAAAAACCGAAATAAGATTGCCAGAAATCATGAAAGGCCTATATGAGGTTAATCGTCACAAATTTGTTTTTCCCCAGCAACGTACTGCTGCATGGGTACAGGGACAAGACCAGGCAATATGTTGGATTTAACAAGGGTTGACATTTTGACAAAAGAGGGAAAGTACTTGAGAGAGGAACAGGAAATTGAGGTTGTATGCATCAGAACGTTATGTGGTTGGCAGATTATACAGGTATACACTCAGTTTGTCAATTCTCTTGTATATTACTACAGACCATAATTTACTAAAGAGATTAGAAAATCACAAGATCTGAAATGGGACAAAAATGTACTGTCTATTCTGTGACAGGTTCTTTGCTAATTAATACCCCCAAAGAACCTCCAACTTTGTAGACTCTTTAAACATAAGATTATTCTCTCTGCCGTAAAATAAAGAAGGGAAAGAGTAGCAGGAGACTCCATAGGGCCTTATAAGCCAGTTCAGGGATTCGGGCCTTAACTCTGAGATGGAAAATCATCAGAAAGTTCAAGGTATTCTACGAACACCTTGAAATGAGAATTTTTACTTCCTCACTTTTGGGTTTTGTACCACCAACGTCTAGCATAGTGCTTTGTACACCGTAGACATCCAATAACGACAATTGATGAAACCTTTAAAAAGCATCGTAGGTGAATTCAACATGGGTTGTGGAGGGTAAGGATGGTACCATCTCTCTGTCAAAGGGAGAAGAGCTAGAAGGAAGTAGCTTTGGCATGAACCAAAATGTCAACCTAATTGATCTTTAAATTTCTCTGCAAAATGCCCACATCTACCTCTGTCTGTCGGTCCGGTCCGTTCGCCGGCTTAGGTCATATCACCCAAATATGCCCCAGTATGAGAAAAGCGCTGTCGGGTAGCTGAGTTCTCTATCAGTACAGATATTCATGCAAAGATCCCGGGCGGGAATGTCAACTACCGAACTAAAGACTGTATCAGAGGACCCTGCTCCTCGCGGTCCCCAAATCCCGCCGCGCCATTTTCTTCTCAAGGGCACCCCACACCTGACAACTCACACAGATGGTTATCTTCAGCACACCGTGGTTATAGTCTCGGTACAACTCTTTGGCCTCCTGGTTGCATTCGATGCACCTGTACTGGCAGGAGGCCGAGGCAGCAGTAGGAGTCGCTGCCACCCCATCCACGTTCCCCTTCCCCTGCTGCAGGCCGCTCCGCCCGCCGTTGCCCATTTCCACTCAACTGCAGTCCAGAACTTCCGATTCTGTGGAGGGTAAGACGTCAGACGCCAGACCGGAAGACTTGCGCCGCGCGGGCTTATTGGGATTCGTAGTCCCGGCACCGGCAAGGCGGCCCCGGGCTGGCCGAGCTGGGACTACCATTCCCAGCACACAATGCTTCTCCCCTTGTCCCGCCCCCTTGCCACGGTCCACCTGCCCGCCGTAGGTTAGAGGCGGGGAGGCCTGAGAGCCGGGCAAGGGCTGTCGCGCATGCGCCTTGAGGGAAGATGGCACCTGCCGGCTGCTGCTGCTGCTGCTGCTTCTGGGGCGGCGCTGTGGCCGCCGCGGGCGCCGCCCGGCGTGTCCTGCTGCTGCTGCTGCTGGGGGTCCTGTCCGCCGGGCTGCGGCCAGGCGCCCTGGCCACCGAGCACTACTCGCCGCTCTCCCTGCTCAAGCAGGAGCTGCAGCACCGGCAGCAGCAGGAGGCCCCGGCGGGCGGCGGCGGCTGCAGCCCGCAGTCCGGGGACTGGGGGGACCAGTACTCTGCCGAGTGCGGCGGTGAGTGGGCGGCGGCGGGCGTCCGAGTCGGCCGGGGCGGCGGGGCAGCGGGGCTGGGGTCCCGGGCCGGGGTACGGGTCGCCCGGGCCTCACGCCTCCGGCTGCGGCGCGCGATCCGCGGGAGCCGGCTCGGCCAGGGGTCCTGGCGGGCAGCTTCCCGCCGCTGCCACCCACGCCGCCGCGCGCCCTCCTGCAGCCGCCTTTGGGCAGGGCGGCGAGTCGAGAAATGAGCTGACAGCATGCTCCTGGGGCCAGGGCGGCCTCTCTCCTGAGTCTGAAGCAACTGTTGGAAGGGTGGCGGAGGAGATGGCAGGTGGCCCGGGGCAGCCCTGTTCCCGCCGCCGGCCTCCCGAGGATGCCGAAGGGGCGAGGGAGGGGCGGGCGGACGAGCAACCAGCCCGGCGGCTTGCGGAGCCCGCCCCCGGAGGGAGACGCCTGGCACATCTTAGGCCTGGAAATCAGGCTTCCTGACCTCCCGGGTTAATGTCTCGTATACAACAGTTCCTAAAAATTGGATCCCTGGAATGGAAAAAAAGAGCAAGCCCATCTTATCTGCTCGTTGACATCTTGCTTCCAGTTGTTTAAGATCAACCTGCGATCTGTCAGGTGTCTCCCAGAGGGAAAAAAGGCCCCTGCAGGCCTTGAGCCTGTGTGTCAGTGCCGTGTGTGTATTGGAGCTACGCCAGCTCATTCATTAAGAATGGGCGCTATTGGCTTCAGTTTAATAAATCATAGCAGATGCCTCTGGGACAAAATACGTGTGTACATTTTTTTGTTTTGAAGTTCTGTCGTGGGTCTTTTTACCCATCAATCTCCTCCCTTTCTCTTTCCCCCTTCTCTATGTGAGTTCCCTTATGGCTTGCTTTGGGAAGGACCGGGGTCTACCGAACCCACTGGGAGATGGTTGCTTTTAAGACTTGGCAGTGGTTTTCTTCGGCATTGTGTACCTGGGAAAACAATACCTTTTTTTTTTAGTTGAGATGAGACGTCAAGATTAGCACAATCTGATTTCCTTTTAGTACAGTCTGACTTCCTTGAGGAAGTGTCACTCACTGAGAGGTTTGTGACTTTTTTATTTTGCGGTAGGCCTTAGCTGGTAACGGCGTAAGTAACACGGCCAGCCTTGCACGGTGGAGAAAGAATGGCATTTACTTACCTCTGTCACTTTCTGTATCTCTGAGCAAGTGAATTACCTGTCTTTGTAAAATGCCTCCTCTGTAAGTGGAAAACACTGTTCACCTAATTGTGGGGTTTTATTTTCCTCACGAGGGTGCTGTGAGGGAAATGAGAAGTAGCCGACATATATTGAGTGCTTGCTGTATGCCAGGTGCTGTTATAAGTGCTTTAGGTCTATGAGCCTAGTATATTAGTCTATCAGAAAAACAATAACCACCTCATTAGATGGTGGCTCATTTTCTCAGATGAACAAACTGAAACATAGTGAAATTGTCATCTTCTTGAGATCCCACAGCTGCCAAAGGAGGAACCCATGAAGTCGGGCTCCAGACAAAGCCTTTGTCCTAACCATTAAGTGGTTGTAGGTAGGCAAACCACATCTGAAGTATTTACTTGCATATGGTGCATGTTGGGTAAATTTCCCTTTCTCCTTTGCTCATGTGGTGCTCACTGGCTAAAGGAGCCCCAGCGTTTAGACAGTAGAAGGTATGTATCGATTAATACTATGATATCTATTGGTATCATTGATGTTGGTGGCTTATTTGATTCTTTGGCATCAGGCTAACCACCAGTATTTAAGAACCCTGTTCAAGCCAGCTCTGACTTGTATTACGATATTTCCCTGGAGGATGAACACTGTATCATGAAGCTGTAAACATAATTTATTTAGATGTTTCTACCTTCTTTTTCTCTCTCCCATGTAGTACTTATTTTTTCTAGCTTGGAATTTAAAATTTACTGTTGCAAATGAACGACCTGAGTCTTTCAGATCACCTCCCCTGGCTGTGTGAGTAGCTACCAACAGGTGCTAAAGTGGGGCAGCTGCCGCTGTGGTCACCCAAGAAGTCATTTCCAGAATCAACTACTTGGAGCTCCAGCTGTTTCCCTCAGCTTTCCTGGCTGCAGTATGCGACAAAAGCCAACTCTGTTGTTGTAGGGGCTACTGAAATACTTCTCATTTCTCCCTCTTCGCCCTGGACAACTATGTAGAAGCTGGACCCTATGAAACCTGTTTCATTTCTTCTCTGTCCTAGGATGTGGGGATGAATTCGGGATTTACAACTAACCGTGCCATAGCCTGAGGGGCAGCTGATGCTCTGTATCCGGAGACCCATTTGAGCAACATTAGGGTCTAGACAAATGTCAGGATCCAGAACTAGTCAGTTCTTCAGAATCATACAGACTTGGCTTTACTAAGCATTGATCATGCCATCGTCTCTTGCTTGCCTGTCCAGCCACAAACCTGTTCATATCAATCCAGCACATATACTGAGGACAAACACAGCAGCACAACCACTTTTCAGAATCTTTCCCACAGCTTTCAGGTTCAAATGGCTGAGCTGATGCCTGCTTGGGTCTAAATTTAAATCTGCATACCTTCTTACAAGCAGTATATGTATTCCCTTGAGACAGAACCGCCAGTGATTGTACATACAAGGACAGTGGCTGGTGGGAGCCCACCAATCCAAAGACAACACACTAGCAATGGCTGGCCCAGCTATGCACACCACCGTCACATGGCATCCATGTCCCAGGGAACAGCCTAATGCTCAGTGGGCTGAGCCCCACCCAGATCTACTGCAGAAGTGACAGGCATGGATGTCCCTCTGGTGCCATATGTCTCAGCTTGAGCTTTGCATGTTTCCTGATCCGCCCTTAATATTTTCTACTCCACATTTTTACATTTTACCTTTTTGATATTTTATTTATTTTTACCTTTTTACTTGAAAAGCATATAACCACAAACTTGTCTTCTCTCTTTGTTTACTTGTAGAGAAAAAATATTATTTTAAAAAAATGAACACTGTATTGTACATATTTTAAAAATAAAAGTAAATTTCCTGTTGCCAAAGCCCTATCTTTAATTTGTAACTGTCGGAGGAAATGATGAACAGAAGTATTTTTCCAATTCTTTCCTCACTTTTTTAGTTATATTGTCATAAACACTCTGCAATCTTTTTTAATCCTTTTGATACTGAAGTAGGTGCTGTTGTTTTTTCTATTTTTTTAGAGACAGGGTCTTGCTCTGTTGCCCAGGAGGTAGTTCATTGGTGCTGTCATAGCTCACTGCAGCCTTAAATTCCTGGTTTGAAGCCATCGTCCTGCCTCAGCTTCCCAAGTAGCTAGGACCACAGACGTGTGCCACCATGCCCAGCTATTTTTTTTTTTTTTCTGTAGAGACAAGGTCTGGCTATGTTGCCCAGGCTGGTCAAACTCCTGGACTCAAGCAGTACTTCCACCTCAGCCTCCCAAAGTGTTGGGATTACAGACGTGAGACACCGTGCCTGGCCAATGCTGTTTTTAATCCCCATTTTACAAACTGAGACAGAGAAGTTAAGGTTATACAGTAAAGAGTAGAGCCAGGATTTGAACCTGACCTGACCATTTGTGTGTTATCTTCAGTAATTGTTGCATATTAGTATAATTTCTTACTAATATTAATGATGAAGTCCTATAACTTCAAGCTTTGTTGAAAGTTATATTCTTAAATCACTATTAGAATTTTGTCTTTGACTACAAATTCAAGGATGCTTCACTGAACCTAGTGTTTTGAACTGCAGGACTAGAATGGGTCTGTTCTTTCATTGAAAAACTATTTGTATACCTGCTAGATGCTACTTAGTATTTTGGACCCTGGTGATGCAGCACAGCTGACTGAGTTCCTAGTGTGGATCCTGTGTCTTGGTGAGGGAAGAAATAAGTACAGTTACATACCATTTAACAACAGGGTATGTTTTGAGAAATGTGTCGTTAGGCGATTTCATCATGGTGCAAACATCAAAGAGTGTACTTAGACCGAGATGGAATAGCCCATTACACACCTTGGTTGTATGGTATAGCCTATTGCTTCTAGGCTACAGACCTGTAGCATGTTACTGTACTCAATACTGTAGGCAGTTGTAACATAGTGACAAGTGTTTGTGTATCTAAATACAGAAAATGTACAGTGAAAATGTGGTATTACCGTCTGATGGGACCATTCTCACACATACGTGGTCCATCATTGGCCGAATCATTATGTGGCGCATGACTCTATATAGTAGGGCCCAGTAATACATGCCTTGAAAATAAAGCAGTGTGAGAGGATAAAGAGCAGTGTGTAGGTGCTACTTTAAGAGGTGCCCCGGGATGGCTTCTGGTAAGGAGACATTTGAGCTGAGACTTAGATAGAGTGAGATTTGGAGAGATCTTAGAAATATCTTAATTCAACACTCTGTAGATCTGCTACATTAAGGTCTTGTGAAATTTGTAACTTGTTCATTGATTTAAAAATTCAGGTTCTCTGCTCTTCTTTTTTTTTTTTTTTGAGATGGAGTATCGCCCTGTCACCCAGGCTGGAGTGCAATGGCGTGATCTCGGCTCACTGCAACCTCTGCCTCCCAGGTTCAAGTGATTCTCCTGCCTCAGCCTCCCAAGTAGCTGGAATTACAGGCGCCTGCCACCAAGCCTGACTAATTTTTTGTATTTTTAGTAGAGATGGGGTTTCACCATGTTGGCCAGGCTGGTCTCGAACTCCTGACCTCGTGATCTGCCCACCTCAGCGTCCCAAAGTGCTGGAATTACAGGCGTGAGCCACCACGCCCGGCCCCTCTGCTCTTCTTACCAAAGCTAAACTGCATCTCTTTCAAATCATGTATTAAATTATATCTTTATACTCTTTACAGACAGTATAAGGTATATTTTATGGTTCAAGCATATGCATTTCTAGAAGTTGTTTTAAAAATACTTTTGTTTTCTCCTCTCGCCTTGAAAATGTAGTAGTAACAAGAACAGTGAGTTTGTGTGAATCTTTTTTTCCAATGCCTTCAGCCTTTTTTCACTGCTCTTGAGTGATGCAGCCCTGTACTTGATGTCTTAATTTTCATTAGTTTGTTGAAATCAATGAAAGCAGAATTGCATTTATTCTATTTTCCCACAGTTCTTTATGGGAAAAGGCATTTAGAATCTGTTTGTCCAATTTGAGAATTGTGAACTGCCAGAAAAATAAGGAAGTAGCTATGAACCTAGCTCTGTGTTTTTGACAAAATTGGTAACACTGAGATTGTCCATGTATATGGTAGCTTTCTTAATTAAGGAATTGGCCATTTAAATACATGAAGTCAGTCTTTTTGCTCACAGCACATAGATCACTGCTATGCCTAGAGGTGGTAGAGAATCAATAGAAGGAAACTTATGAGAGCTATTTCCTTTTTTGCTCTATGAGGAAGTTAAGAACCACATTTTGTGCTCAGTCATAGCAATTGTGGTAACCATTACTGTGAGTGTATCTGGTCAATCCTTTCATCTCCTGGCCCTGATTTTCTGTGTTTGTCATCATACATAGTTTCATGGCAGACCTCTTCATATCTTGTTTTTCAAGGCATTCCTGAGTAAATTTGCCAGTGCAAAGTCGCTGTGCTCAGAGACTGAGGCACAGAGTGATGAAGAGATTGTGATCTTGCCACATCCTGGCCCCTGTGGCATTGCCAGAGGGTGTTTCCCTTTTGCTCACTGAACAGCATCTTTCAGCAAATCCTCTGGTTTAGAAGTAGCATTTTATAGCATAAGCCCTATGACGATGGCAGCCTATGATTCGCTTTTTCACGTATATCTGTTGTCATTAAGAATTACATCTACCTTTTAAAAGATCTACATACTGCTAAACCTGTTCAACTTCAGGTGATAAGGGTTAATTATTATTTTTTAATCTCTGGGTGGAGGCAAAAATGGTGTGACTTGGGTTTTAGAACCTACCTGGAGCATGACTGTAGGAAAGTCAAGGCTCTTCAATGTGCACCACTCAATGTACAGACAGTTTAGCTTCACTGCACTCAATATATACTTGACTGACTTTTAAACCTTCTCCCTTTCACAATGAGTTGTTTTAAAGAGGTCATTTTGTTTGGGCTCATCTTATCTTGCAGATAGAATAAATAATTTATCAAAGCGGCAGAATTTTAATACTTTGGGTGAATGCTTTCCAGCATATTCCTTTTCTTATGTTTTGGTTTTACTTTTTTATCAAAATACAACATATATACAGGAGAGTGCATATGTCCTAAGTGTAGATAGCTCAATACGTTTTCATAAGCTGAACAACTGATGTAATCAGAAAGAACCGAAATCAATAGCTGTCTGTTTTTAAGATTGCCGATAGTCTCATTCCATGCTAACCCTAGTTTCATTTGGGAAATGTTTTGTCTGATTTAGAGTCCAGCACCATGCAGTGGACTTACACTGCACATGTGCTGGCATTCTTTCCATAGACTCTCACTTAGGAATCAGTTGGTGCATCTCAGGACCACCTCTGCACAAGAAGACCAGTTGTCTTCTCTTGCAACTCTTCCCTGCTGGTGTTTGCAATGTTCTCAGTGACTCTGTGTTCCCTTGTCACTAATCTTTTCATGTCAGTGCCTAGCTCTGTTTCAGCATTCCCTGTGGAGTTGATGTTGTCTGCCAGTATGTGTGGGCTTATGAGAAAGCTTTTAGCTCTTAAAAGTATGTGTCACTTTGAGCATCTGATGCATCTTCAATCTAGTTTATAACCTTATGCTAAGTAACTGGCCTTTGTGGGGAAGGCCTGTTTTGTTGGTTAAGGCATCCTTCTTCTGTTCTGTTCCATGTAATTTGCTACTGTGCCTGTTTTTCCATCCCGTGCAGTGAATTCCTTTTCTTTTGATTCTTTACATATGTTTATATTTGTATGTGGGTTAAGATACCTTTGATCCTATTACATTCAAGCTTTGTTAAAAAACAAAAAACTTCTGTCTCTTTAAGATGGCTTTTGTGGATCCTTAGTTCCTATGGATTAATTATATGTTTACTTTATAATTTAATAATCAGCAGGCAGTGTCTATTTTCAATTTGCTTTACGATAATACATCTCAGGTACCGATGAATATTTCATTTCATTAAATGAAGCATATAAATTCTTCAGAGCATTTTTCCTGTTATTACACTCTCAAAGGAATTTACCACTTGGGACCATATTTCGGGGCCATTGAGCAATGCAGTATATGATGTCAACTGTGGTTGTCTTTTTTTTTTTTTTTTTTTTTGAGATGGAGTCTTGCTCTGTTGCCCAGGCTGGAGTGCAGTGGTGCAATCTCGGCTCACTGCAAGCTCTGCCTCCTGGGTCCATGCCATTCTCCTGCCTCAGCCTCCCGAGTAGCTGGGACTACAGGCGCCCGCCACCACGCCCGGCTAATTTTTTTGTATTTTTAATAGAGACAGGGTTCCACCATGTTAGCCAGGATGGTCTCGATCTCCTGACCTCGTGATCCGCCTGCCTCGGCCTCCCAAAGTGCTGGCATTATAGGCATGAGCCACCGCGCCTGGCCACCTGTGGTTGTCTTATAAGTGCAGAAATTGATAAAAGCAAAAGGCACTACAAGTTGATACCACACAGCCACCTGGCCTTCAGGTAGTTCTTTCAGCCACAAGAATTCTGTCTTCTCTTCGCAGGTTTACCCTATACCTGGGGTTAGGATTGTCAATAAATATCTGGCACTCTACTTTTAAGTTGTAGCTCATCCAAGGGAAAAGCCCAGTCATCCTTATTTTCAAGTAGCTCAGTGTGCTGTCTGTTATAACTAGGTGGTCGAGTGATAAGTGCTACCCAGCAGCTGTTGATTTCCTTATAAATTGGCCATGGGTTTGCCACTTATAAGCTTTCAGTCAGTTTTCTCACACACATGGATGTGTGAGAAATACATGCTACTGCCAATGCCACCTTCTCTCCTTCCTTGGAGGTGACGACTGTCATCTTATTTGACTAAGAAGCAGTGAGAAAACAACTTCCTTGCTCCCCACCACCCCAGCTACTGGCCTGCCCGCAGATGGACTGGTAGATTTTGCCTTCTGTCCTGTTGTGGTGGATGAGTGGCCGGTGCCTCTGCCTAGTTCAGCTCTCTGTTCACTGGCTCTCATTTCCTCTTGTCTTCCGTCAGCATACAGATGGTCTTAATAAAACTACCATCCTGAAAATACAAGCAACTAAGATGACCACACACCCCTCCAGCCACTGCCCCATCCCTCTGCCTCCTTTTACAGCAGAATTCCTCAAAGGAGATGTTCATATGGACTGCCTCCACCACTCCACTCTCTCTTGGACCTTCTATGGTTAGCTTTTGTCCTCGTCAATGTGCTGAAACTGCTCTTCTTAAGGTCAGTTGTGTGTGAGGTTTAGGAGGAGAGGAAAGAAGTTTCAAGACACTGCTATACCTAAACTGTTCATTACTAGGACCCAGCATTGGCAGAAGGAGTTGTGACAAATGTACCATGTTCTTCATTGCTGTGGCAAGACCCGGCTGTGCTATGTCTTTGTTTTGTGACCTTAAACATGTTCATTAACATTGAGTTTATTTCCCCATGTGTACAGTGGGCACAGTGTGCCTTGTATCTACCTTGGAGGATGGAGAATCAAAAGAAATGAGGTTTATGAAGGTATTTGGAAGCTGGGAAGTACTGTGAAGGCCAAGATAAGCTTAAAGAAAGCAGATAGAAAAATTTAACAAAAAAACACTGCGATTTTAGCCTATAAGCCTATACTAACATTTAACAATCCTTTTCTGTGCACAGGGCTTTATACCCTTTATTCTTCACAGTAGCCCTGTGAAGGTATCTGGGGGTGGTTATTTCTATTTTGCAGATGAAGGAGCTGAGGCTAAGACGTACTAAAGGACTTGCTCTAAGTCAAACAGTCAGGGAAGCATCTAATCTGGGTTAGTCTGACTCCATAGCCCTGCCCTGAGCCACTGTTACATTGCCTTCAAACTAATTAATTAAGTTTGAAGTCAGAGAAATACTAGAATTAAATATAAGACCTAGTTCTTTGAAAATACTGCTTAAGATTAGACAGTTATCTAGCAAGCCTAATCAAGAAAAATGAGCAGAAACAAGTATTTGGCTTGAGGAATAAGCAAGTATAATAAATATGAAAATCATTATAATAACTGTATCCAGCTTTATGGCCCAGATGTAGAACCTTTCAAAGAAATGGATAGTTCTTTTAACAAAAGATAAATTGCTAAGTTGATTCTCCCACTATCTCTTAAATACTCATCTTCACCAGGTCAACTCTTCTCTTATTAAACGTAAGCTTCTTAAGCTTTCTTTTTCTTTTCTTTTCTTTTCTTTTTTTGAGATGGAGTGTCGCTTTGTCACCCAGGCTGGAGTGCAGTGGCGCAATCTCGGCTCACTGCAAGCTTCGCCTCCCAGGTTCACGCCATTCTCCTGCCTCAGCCTCTCGGATAGCTGGGACTACAGGCGCCTGCCACTGCACCCGGCTAGGTTTTTGTATTTTTAGTAGAGACGGGGTTTCACCGTGGTCTCGATCTCCTGACCTCGTGATCCGCCCACCTCAGCCTCCCAAAGTGCTGGGATTACAGGCGTGAGCCACCGCACCCAGCCCCCTAAGCTTTCTTAGAGACTGTACTTACAGTCTCAGCTTATCATCCACCATAAGTTAATGATTATCAAATCATCACATCCATATCTGTAGTATTTACCTTTCTCTGGACTTTCTTAACTACATGCTAGAGAGCTTCCAGCGTAATCACTTGACTCAAGCCCAAAGTTAGCTCTTGACTTCCCTCTAAAACCTCTCTTCCTCTTAAACTCCTTGTTTCCGTTGATGGCACCACTTCTTCCCTCATTGCACAAACTGGAAACCTGTGTCTTTTCCCTCTTTCTGTGCCTAATTCTTCCTCAAGGCCCTCTCCTTTTTACTTGCTGTATCCTTTAGACCGTGACCCTCTATTTCAACCCGATGGCTGCTGCCTCCATTCAGACTTTGCTCATTTTAACTGGCCATGGCCTCCCACCTGCCCCCTGCTCTACTTGCCCCTTCTCTCCTTAGACACCTGTTAGTGATGTCGCCTCCTGCTTAAACTCATCCTGCCTTCTTAGTTTAATGCTAAGAAGAAAGGGAATAAATGAACTAGATGCTGAACTTGAGCTGCGAGAAGAGGTAATAAGGGAAATTAGAAGGCCTAATACAGCAAAGCTGGTATAAATGAATTAGAAATAAAGCAGCAGTGGAATTGAGAAATAGACCCGGGTTGTTTTTTTAAAAAAAGAATGATTAAGAAGTTCTGGAGGTCAGTGTGCATATACCTAATACTACTGAACCATACAAACTAAAAATGGCTAAGGCGATTGCTTTTATGTGATGTGTGTTTTTTTTTTAACCACAATAAAACAAAAAGGCCCCCCCCCCACCACCATAGGAAAACAAATTCTTAAGTGATAAAAAAAAGAAGAATAAAATAGATAAGCCTGATGAGGTGACTACAGAAAGAGGGAGCAGGTGCAAGTGTCAGTTGTGAATGAGAGGCATGCGCAGAGCTCCAGAGGCCATGAGAACTTAAGAGGCAACTGTGCAGAAATCTCTGCTAAGACATTAAACTCTGAAGCAGTGAAGAAATGTCCAGAGATGATGTAGAAGAACAAGATAGAATTCTGTGATGCGTTTTCACACAGTTTCTATAGTAATCAGCACTAACTTTACTTGTACGACGTAAGCAAGGAAGAAAACTAATGCTTTTCCTATCCAAGGAAATTTATACTATTTATGTACAGCTGGTTGGGCTGTAATTATTTATTATATTAAGTAGTTATCCTTTAATATAATCATTTATGATAGTAAAGTAATTAAAGCCATAGTGAGTTAAATATTTTAAGATCGAAGAACAAATTTAACCTCCTGTTCCACACAACTATAGTTATAACTCTAGCAACTATTTTTCTATTGCAACCTTAGAAGATACATACATAGTTATAAAAATTTTAAGTAAAATATTAGCAAGCAATTAAAAGAATGATCTACCTCAATCAGAGTTTGTTTTAGAAGTACACAGATGGTTCAACTTGAAAAAATTAAATTAGTTTGTTAATAGGCCAAAGGAGAAAAATCATAGAAACATCTTAAATAAATTTCAAAAGTGCTTGATAAAGGTCAGCAAGCTCTCCTGATTTAAAGTTTCTGGTAAAAAAAAAAATAGAATAGGAAAATACTTCTTTTATATGGTGAAGTACATCAGTCTCAACCCATAGCTGACACAGAGCAGCTTTCCACTGGATGTTGATAAATGTTAGGTGAAAAAGTTTTATCATCAAAAGTTGATGAAATCTCAGTTATTAAATGAAGTATTAATGTCAGGAATAAGCAGGGGTGCCTGTTAATCAGTGGCGTTATTGAGTACTTTTTGGAAGTTTCATCTAGTATAATAAGGTGCTAAATTAATATAAATATTTTAAAAGACCTTGATAAAATTACGTGCAGATAATACAGTTACCAGCTGACTAAATGGAGACATTAATAGGGCTGTAAAGAGTTCAGTAATGTGGGCAGATAAAATATTCAGCACTAGGCAGTTGGACAAAGGATTTACCATGTGCTGGTATTTCTGCCTGACTGCTCTCCCGGTGCCATAGCCTCCCATGGTGAAATCCATAATTTCCCTCAGGTCCCCATTCACTTATTCATGGCTAAGAGCACAGACTCCAGAACCAGACTGCCTAGGTTCAGATCCTCCCTCCACTGCTTTGCTAGAGGGTAGCGTCAGGATGATTACTGCAGGTTCCTCGGGCTCATTTTCCTCATCTTTGAAATGGGGATTCTAAGGTTGCCTGTACACGGTAACTATGTGTTAGCTGGTGTTATTCACGTCCTCGGGAAACTGACCAGGCCATATCTTCTGACTGTGCTGTCATGTGTAGCTCTCACACTGTTGTTGGTTTATGTTTCTTTGTGTACTTTGATTGCTATCAGTTTTCCCACAGGGAACTATAATGTCTTTGTAGAAGAAGGGTCATTTCTGGTTTTGCTCAGTAGAGGCTAACACAGTGATGGGAACATAGTAGATGCTCAACAAATATGTATTGAATCAATGGTTATCAACCCAATTTAAAAAATCACATGTAAATCCTATATAAAATTTATGAAGTTTCACATAGTTTAATAAAATATTTAAATAAAGAGATCAAATTTTATAAAGAAGTATTTCTTCTCCTATTAATCTACAATTTTAATGCCATCCTAACACAAATCATAGAGAGATTTTTTTGTTTTGGAACTTAAAAAACTGACTGAAGTTTATCTGAAGAAAGAATGTTTATACAAATAGCCAAGAAAGTTTTGGAATAAAATTGATAATGGCTTTGTTTTATATTAAAATGTATGTATTGTGAATCAAAATATCACCCTCTACCCCATATGTACAATTATTCTGTATCAATTTAAAATAATAAAAACCAAAAAACATTTATTTATTGTGAAGCTACAATAATTGAAACAATGTGATACTGAAATCAAAACAAACAGATCATTATAAGGGATTAGAAAGTGTGGAAACAAAAGTTTCTTATAGAAAACTAAAAATTTATTTTAAAAATATTAAATGAAAAGTGATATATAATCCTACCAAGTTTAAGTAATTAGGAGAAAATTTAAGTCAGGTGCAGTGATTCATGCCTGTAATCCCAGTACTTTGGGAGGTTGAGGCGAGAGGATTGCTTGAGCCCAGGTGTTCGAGACCATTCTGGGCAACACAGTGGGACCCTGTCTCCACAAAAAATAAAAATGAAAAATTAGCCAGGTGTGGTGGTGCATGCCTGTGTTCCCAGCTACTAGGGATGCTGAGGTCAATGCTGCAGTTAGCCGAGATCGTGCCACTGCACTCTAGTCTGGGTGTCAGAGTGAGCTATTGTAAACACTGCTGCAGCAAATATTGGATTGCAGATATCTCTTCCATATACTGATTTCCTGTCTTTTGGGTATGTACCCAGCAGTGGGATTGCTGGATCATATGGTAGCTCAATTTTTAGTTTTTTGAGGAACCTCCAAACTGTTCTCTATCGTGGTTCTGCTAATTTACATTCCCACTGCAGTGTACAAGTGTTCCCCTTTCTCCATATCCTCACCAGCATTTGTTATTATCTGTCTTTTGCATATACACCATTTTAACTGGGGTGAGATGATATCTCATTGTAGTTTTGATTTGCACTTTTTGATGATCAATGATGTTGACCACCTTTTCATATGCCTGTTGGCCTTTTGTATGTCTTAAGAAATGTCTATTCAAATCTTTCCCCATTTTTTGGTTGGATTATTAGATTTTTTCCAATACAGTTGTTTGTGCTCCTTATATATTCTGGTTACTAATCGCTTGTCAGAGGGGTAGTTTGCAAATATTTTATCTGATTCTGTGGGTTGTCTCTTCACTTTGTTGCTTGTATCTTTTGCTGTGGGGAAGCTTTTCAACTTGACATGATCCCATTTGTCCTTGTTTGCTTTGGTTGCCTGTGTTTGTGGGTGTTACTCAAGAGATCTTTGCCCAGATGAATATCATGGAGAGCTTCCCCAACGTTTTCTTGTAGTAGTTTCATAGTTTGAGTTCTTGGATTTAAGTCTTTAATCCATTTAGATTTCATTTTGTATATGGTGAGGGATAGGAGTCTAGTTTCATTCTTTTGCATATGGATATTCAGTTTTCCCAGCACCATTTATTGAAAAGACTGCCTTCCCCAGTGTGTATTCTTGGCACCTTTGTCAAAAATGAGTTCACTGTAGGCGTGTAGATTTGTTTCTGGGTTCTCTATTTTGTTCCATTAGTCTGTGTGTCTGTTTTTATGCCAGTACCATGCTGTTTTGGTTACTATAGCTGGATTTAAATAATCTTAAAGATTTCCTTTAAAAGCAAGTATAGAAACAGATCCTAATGTCTATAATGTATTATAAAGGTGGCATTCAAATTGATAATTTAACAAGTGGTGCTGGGACAACTGGCTAACCATTTGGAAAATAGATAATTAGGAATTTTTTTCAATATCTTTTGCAAGGATAGGTTTAGATGACTTAAAAATGAGCAAAGGATATAAGTGATTTACAAAAGTGGAGATACAAATGGCCAATAAACCAAAAGTTTAACTTTATTAGTGGTATGTTCAGATTGGGAAAGATTAAAAAGAATGTCAGTACTCTGGAGGGAAATGGACCTTCTCAAACTTCTAGTAGGAATGAAATTGTTATTATATGCTAGGAAGGAAATTGGGGCAATATATATGAAAAATATTAAACTTGTGCACACCCTTTGACTTGGCAATTTTATTTGTTGGAATCTATTGTAAGTGGGTACATTTTCAAAAATATAGGTCAAGAATACTTACTGAAATACTGTTCGTATTAAGAAAAAAGTAGGGACATCCTAAGTATCCAGTGATAAAAGTATGGTTAAGTGCAGCCTTTTAAAATTATGTAGGTGTATATTTATTGAAACTGAAATGGATTCCACAAAGGAGAGGGATTGTTAGAATAAGGCCAGGTATACACATTGCTTAGCACAGTGCCTGGCATATAGTAAGTTCTCAAATCTTAGCTTAGAAAAGGCAGGAGAAACAGGTTATAAATGTGTATGTTTCCAAAATATCTTTCATTGAGTCATTATTCTCCAACCATCTGCCAGGAACCATTACTATCTTCATTTTTGTGGGACTAAAGCCTTTCGTTGGGGTTCAGATCAGACTTTCTGCAGTCTGACTCCTCACCTTCCAAACTCATACTTTTTCTTTTCCAACACAAACTCCCTGCTCTAGCCAGGGAGTAGGAGTCTCCTCGCTGCCCTTTGCATTTCCTTGCCTTTGTACCTTTGCGTGTACCACTCATCGTCCTATCCGGAATACCCCTTCCCTTTCTCTGCCCCAGTCTAAATCCATCCATTCTTTTTTCTTTTATTTATTTATTTATTTATTTATTTATTTATTTATTTTGAGACAGGGTCTTACTCTGTCATCCAGACTGGAGTGCAGTGGTATGATCATGGTTCACTGCAGCTTCCACCTCCTGGACTCAGGTGATCTTCCCACCTTAGCCTCTGGGTAGCTGGGACTACAGGCATGTACTACCACACCCAGCTAATTTTTTCTTTTGTAGAGATGGTGTTTTGCCACGATGCCCAGGTTGGTCTCAAACTCCTGGGCTCAAGGGATTGGCCTGCCTCAGCCTCCCAAAGTCCTGGGATTGCAGGTGTGAGTCACCGCACCCAGCCTCCATCCATTCTTTTAAACCCTGCTTATGCCTTGTGAAATTTAACATTGCAGCTTCAGTAATGGTTCACCACCCCAGGGCTTCTTCACCATATCATGTCTTGTTTCTTATTGTTAAGATATACAACACGTGAGAATTTAGCTAAATTATATGTTCTTTGAGGACACAGACTGATTTTGATATTATAATTTATTCTCTCCCTCAGATGGTTCCTTGAACATAATTTAATGCTCTTTAATGACTGCTGAATTAGAACATATCTTTTTTTGCAATAATCTATCAAGGTGAAATGTTTTAATATAAAATTAACCATTTTAGAGCAAACAGTTCAGTGGCATTCACCATGTGCAACCACCCCAAGTTGTTTTCAACACTCCAAAATAAAACCCCTTACTCATTAAGCAGTTTCTCCCTAGTCCCTCCTTCCCCTATCCCCGGCAATCACCAATCTGCATTTTGTCTCTATGGATTCACCTATTCTGGACATTTCATATAGATGGAGTCATATGATAAGTGACCCTTTGTGTCTGGCTTCTTCCATTTAGCATAATGTTTTGGAAGTTCTTCCACGTTGCAGTGTGTATCAGTAGTTCATTTTTTTATGGTCGAATAGTATTCTACTCTGTATACACCAAAATTTGTTTATTCATTCATCTGTTGATGGACACTTGGACCATTTCTCCCTTTTGGCTACTGTGATTAGCGCTACTATGAACATGTATATACAATACTTGTTTGAGTCCCTTTTCAATTTTGGGGGTATATACCTAGGAGAAGAATTGCTGCATCATATGGAAATTCTGATTCGCTTTTTAAGGAACTATTTTCCATAACTGGTGTACCATTTTACACTCCCACCAGCAATGCACAAGGGTTCCAATTTTTCTACATTCTTGCTACTGCTTGTTGTTTTCTGCTTTTTGGTTATAGCCATCCTAGTGTGTGTGTGTGAAGAGGTACCTTATTGTGGTTTGATTTACATTTCCCTAAGTAGTAATTAGTAATGATGTTGAGCAACTTTTCATGTGCTCAATGCCTATACAGGTCCTTTGCCTGTTTTTAAAATTGTGTTGTTTTAGTTGGGTTGTAAGAGCTATTTATATATTTTGCATACTGGACTCATAGTGTGTATCATTTTTTTTTTTTTGAGTCAGAGTTTTGCTCTTGTTGCCCAGGCTGGAGTGCAATGGCACAGTCTCGGCTCACGGCAACCTCTGCCTCCCGGGTTCAAGCGATTCTCCTGCCTCAGCCTCCCAAGTAGCTGGGATTACAGGCACCTGCCACCACGCCTGGCTAATTTTTGTATTTTAGTAGACACAGGGTTTTGCCATGTTGGCCAGGCTGGTCTCGAACTCGTGACCTTAGGTGATCCGCCCACCTTGACCTCCCAAAGTGCTGGGATTACAGGTGTGAGCCACCACGCCTGGCCTAGGGTGTATCTTTTAACATTTAAGTCTCACTGGTTTGGCTTATTCTCCTTTTGTGATTTTTTTTAATCTATGGTAAATGCTGCCCCATAGATTGTTCGACTGAAGGATCTCAACAACAATATTAGTTCCACATGTGTCCTGAGACAAGCATTGTACTAGTACTCTTTCTACCCTGTTGCCTTTAGATAAGTTACAACCTATTTAAACCTCATTTAACCATCCAGGAAGCTCACTGGCTTTGCTCATTTGAGAATGGTGGTGAGGAACATCACTAATGGTTGTGCAAGATACTTGCAAACCGTAAAACATTACCCTATTATAAAGGTAGGATACAGGTTGCTACTTCTATTTTTTGTTTTCTAGAGACAGGGTCTCACTGTTTGAGACCCAGCCTGGTTGGTTTGCTGTTGCCCAGGCTGGTCTTGAACTCCTTGCCTCAAGCGAGCCTCCTGAGTTGCTGGGATTACAGGTGTGAGGCACTGTGCCCAGCTGGTTGCCACTTTTAGTGTTATTCACACCTGTTCTTATTTTGGTTCTGTGGAGTCTAAAAATTCTAATTCATAGTTAAGCACCTAAGAGCATAAATTAAGGTGTAGAGAATAACAAAGAATGCTTGCCTTTCAGAGTCATCCTTTTTGAACTTCCATGACTCAGACTGCGAACCCAAGGGATCATCACCCTGTGACTCCTTGCTTTCCCTCAACACTGAGAAGATTCTGGTATGCATCTTCTCTCTGTGTTCTGTTTTTGTAACCTGAAGCCCAGTGATACTAGTTCCAAAAAGTGGAAGTCGCCTCTGTCAACTAGAAGTTGGGCCTCGTTGAGTCTACATGCATAGGATAAAGATAGGTCGTCTGGTATTTTGCCACATTGAATTATGACTTATGAATTGGATGGTTGATTATTCTGGACATAGAACTTTTAATTTGCAAGTGTCAAGAAATAAAGGGACATTATAGTTAAACCTTATTTCTAGCAGCCTTGTGTATTTGTAGGTATAGTAGACTCTTATTTTTCCAACCTTTGCATATGTGGGTATCTTTTGTATCTATGTTTTCTATCAGTACCAACTAAACTATACCGTGGACCTCTCCATTTCAGGGGTGAATACTTGACAGTAGCTAATGTTTGCGTCTGCCTATCCATGTTAGTGCATCTCCTCCTCCAGCCTGGCTGCCTCAAGAGGGATGGGTCTTCTTTTTGTTCACACTTAACTCTATGAAGCTGATTGTTCTTTCCGTGTCCAAGTTTAATGTATTTTTTCTCCAGGCCTTTTCCTTCAACATCTGCATAGATACTCTTTGCATCTTCGGTTTAAAATTTCCTTTTAAGATACTCTTTTTTTTTTTTTTCAAACAAAGCCTTGCCTTTTCATGTGAGAACTACTGAAGATGGATTGAAACTGCAAACTAGAGAATGATCGTCTGCTTTTACCTAACTCGCTGCATAGTAATCAACTTGATATATGGAAAACTCTCGAATTAGACTTGCCCAAAATCAGAAGGGGCTGTCTTGTAAAGCAGTGAGTTGGTCATCTCTGAAAGTGTTTAAGTAGAAGTTGGATAATCCCATCTTGTATAGGCAGTTAGATTCTTAGAGTTATGAAAGTCTTCTTACTGAGAGTAGTTAAAATATGTTCTACTAGTTGCATTTCCAGTTTAAGCTAGTGCTAGCTAGTGACCTATGGGAGAAAGCTCGTTAGTCTTGGCCTTTCCTCTTCCCAAGGTTGAAATATGGGACTTAGACTATTCATTTATTGATCCATTCTCCAGATATTTATTTGGCACCTATTACATGCCAGGCATTGCACTAGGTGATTATTAGGAATACAGCAATAAGCCAGATAGTGTTGGTCTCTGCATTATGTACCAGGCATTGTACTAGGTGAGTGTTAGGAATACAGCAGCAAGCCAGATAGCGTTGGTCTCTGCACCATGACTTTTATACTCATCAACCAAATCATTATGCAAATAAACATAAAAGTGTGATTGTACACATCATATGAAGGAATAGCAAAGGGTCAACATAAACTCCCTTTATTTAGGGGTATCAGGCAATACAGCTTTCAGGAACTGAAGTGTAAGCAGGGATGAGAAAGTTGGATTGAAATTAGTCTACTAGTGATGTTGAGCTGTGTGTTCAAACTTACTTGAGCATAGCTTCTCAACTCTGTCCAGAGGAGATACTATAGATGCAGTATTAGAAATAGGAAAGGGTCTTTTTCATCAAGAATTTGATTTGTTGTTTGGCTGGGTGCAGTGGCTCACGCCTGTAATCCCAGCACTTTGGGAGGCCAAGGCGGGTGGATCACCTGAGGTCAGGAGTTCAAGACCAGCCTCACCAACATGGAGAAACCCCGTCTCTACTAAAAAATACAAAATTAGCAGGGGTGGTGGCGCATGCCTGTAATCCCAGCTACTTGGGAGGCTGAGGCAGGAGAATCGCTTGAACCCAGGCGGCGGAGGTTGTGGTGAGCCGAGATCGTGCCATTGCACTCAAGCCTGGGCAAAAAGAGAGAAACTTTGTCTCAAAAAAAAAAAAAGAATTTGATTTGTTTGTACTGTACTTCTCCTGCCCACTTTCTAGTGAATACAAACAACTTAAAATCAGATATATTCTTCAGTGTACTCTTGAGGTTGCTTAGTAAATGATTTCTTCTTTTTGTAGAATTTCATTTCTGTCCTCGTCCCTATATCTTTTTGCAGAAAGGCTTGGCAAATGGTAGACTCTCCTCAAATATGAAATAAAGCAATATTTACAGACTCTTTTTCTTGCCTCTAAGCAATTTACTTGCTTTTTTTCCCAGCTTCACTGAGGTGTAATTGACAAATAAAAATTATATATTTACAATGTACAATGTGATTTTATATACATATATGTTGTGAAATGGTTGCCACAATCAAGCCATCTAAGCAATTATTTATTTATTTTTGAGACAGAGTCTCACTGTTTTGCCCAGGCTGGGGGTACAGTGGCACAATCAGGGCTCCCTGCAGCCTCGACCTCCCGGGCTCAAGCCATCCTCCTGCCTCAGCCCCAACCAAGTAGCTGGGGCTATCAGTGTACATCACCATGTCCAGCTAATTTTTTTGAACTTTAGTAGAGATGAAGTCTCACTGTGTTGCCTAGGCTGATCTCGAAATTCCGGAGCTCAAGTGATCTTCCTACCTTGGTCTCCCAAAGTGCTGGAATTAAAGGCGTGAGCCACCATGCCCCGTCTATCTAAGCAATTTATTAAGGAGAAAAATCTTTTGCATCTGTGAACTTGTCTGTAAACATTTGACAAAGAGGAAGGGCTCATGTTCTGGTCACACCCAGCTGTATATCATCAGTAACACCCTTACGCATTGTTAAATCTGCCACATCTTGAAGCTTTACCAGGTTCCAGGTGTGGAAGCTCCCAGCTGCATAGCAAAACTAGAAGGAGCTGATAAGAGTTTCCCTCTCGTCATCAAGGTTCTACTGAAAGCCATAAAGTGTAAAACATTCCCACAATAGTGGCATTTTCTTGCTTCCACTTAAATCAAATGTAGCCTTAATTTTAATTTTTTAAAATACAGATTTTAATACAAGTTTTCTTTCATTTGTGATAGCTAAAATGTATGGGTTTTTTTTTTTTTTTTCCCAGAGCCAGGCCAAGTCTATTGCAGAACAGAAGAGATTCCCGTTTGCCACTGATAATGACAGCACAAATGAAGAGTTAGGTAAGACTTGAATCTGGTAATATTCCTGTAATATTTGCCTCAAAGTTTTGGTTAGATGCATAGCAGGAAGACAGGATGGTAAGGAGTAGAGAGACTGGCTTTGCCAATTTGAGCTGTTTGATCTTGCATGGAGCATTCAGCCCTTGTGACATTCCATTTATTATATGTCAAGAGAAAAAAAAAAGGTTTGGATGGAATAATCTTTTCCAGCTCTCCATTTCTATGGAAATTAATAATTATGGTAATGAGCTCTTATGAGCTGTTTCGATTCAGTAAAAGGTTATTTGTGTGCTGTCATCAGATGTGAGCAATGAAGAAGTGAAAGCAGACTACCTACTTTTCTGTATAGTGAAATAGCTATGTTTAAGTTATTTTAACTTAAACTTTAAGTTATTTTACTCATGAGGCTAGTGAGTTATTTTTGGGCCTAAGAATGTGGGTGTAGAAAAATTGAATTCATTCGTACCTGCACGAGTCACATAGTTTGGTGTGTTCATTGCATGTTTTAAAACAGGCTGGTTTTGTCAGTGTCAGATATGCACTGGGTGTGTTTCCCTCGCTGTCTAGTGAGTTTACATTTGAAGAAGTGGAGACAAAATTGAATACAGGGCTGAGCAGTGCAACTGGGCAAACTATTGAAGCACATGTTTTCGCATGGGGCCCAGTCACCAAAGCACCTGCAGGAATTCTTCTCTATCTAATTTATGCATAATTATTTTATCCTTACCATGGTCATACACGTTTGATATTAAGACTAAGTGCTCCTTATATTGGCTTCTTTCCTGTTAGTGCAGGGTCTTGCTCTGTGGCCCAGGCTGGAGTGCAGTGGCACAATCATAGCTCACTACAGCCTTAAACTAGGCTCGAATGATCTTCTTCCCTAGGACTCCTGAGTAGGTAGGATTACAGGTGCACACCACCGTGCCTGGCTAATTTTTTAAAATTGTTTTGTAGAGACCAGTACTCACCATGTTGCCCAGGCTGGTATCAAACTCTTGGGCTCTAGGAATCCTCCTGCCTTGGCCTCCCAGGGTGCTATTTTGAAAATGCTAATTACTTTATGGTGATATTCTTTGAGGAGGCTTTGAGGACTGCCCTTTAAGGCATCAGATCTGGTCTTTTCTGAAGTCCTTGGATTCTACTTAGAGTAGTATTTATTTATTGAATAATGAGTTCAGAGCCTGATATGCCAGGTCTGTTTTGTTCTCCAAGAATAATCCTAGTAGACCCTGGGGTAGTGTAGGCCCTGAGCTGGCCTATGATCTTTTGTATCCAGTATTTTTTCTTGAAAAAAATGACATCTGTGAACATATACATTGCTCGGAGATGTGGGGTTGCTGGTGAGTAGAGATTTCTGAGAGAAGTCCAGTTATACCAGCTTTTCCTTTAAGTCTTTAGACTCCTACAACAAAATTTAGATCCTAATATTTGTATTTGCACAAGATTTGGGTTATGATTATTCTTTTATGAATGGATACTTCTGCGTTTTTTTCACAAAATGTTGAGCTTTAGGTGGAGGGATTTGAAAACTGCATTTGATTTTAAGTGGAATTCAATCACTTAGATGTGGACAGCCATCTAAATATGTTCCTAAAGTACAAAATTTATCTCTAAAAATCATATTTGTTTTTATGGCTCATTGATTGATTTGTTCATTCAACAGATATTTACTGATTATGGGATAATAAATAGGAAATAAAAATTTAGATTTGAAAGGAAACTTTAAGAAAATTTTCTACAGGCTTATTAAGCAAGACCAGACAGTTATGAGAAGTGACTGAGGTCCCCACGATCACACGGCTGGTGAGTGGCAGAGCCAGAATCCGAGCTCACATCTTGGCTTTCTGATCAAATCGTCATCTTCCTGCATTCAAAAAAGTACAAGTTTATGTTTTTATCCATGTTCATCTGACCATTAAGGAATTTCAGCCCCTTGGCCATCCCTCCAGTGCACAGTGGTTTGGGAACTGACTTGAATTTTCTCAGCGTACCGGGCTGCCTGGGAGGTTAGGCTCTGGAGCCAGGCAGCTTGCTGCCTTCCTCTCACTCACTGCTTATGGTCCTTGGACAGCTAGTTTAACCACTTTCTACTTTATTTCCTTGTCTGCAAAATGGGGTTAATAATTGTACCTACCTCATTGCAGTGGAGGAGCAAATGAGTTAATACTGGTAAAGGATATTACTGTGCCTGGCACATATTAAGAATGCAATGCCTGTAGCCACTGTGATTCTTGCTGCTGTTTTTACTACTAATATTACTGCCTCCACCACCCCCACCAAAACTAAAGGTATCCTCTCGTTACCTGGAGGTTAGCTAACTGAACGGTATCTATTGTCAGCATTCTGAGCATGAATTTGGGCTTAATTTATCTTTCCAAAGAAAGTAGGGCAAAAGGGCTCTCTTTTTATTTTGAAGAATGCCCCCAGAAGTGCTTATATTATTATGGTGTTCAATTTGAACTTTATTTTATTGATTTATGAATGTATTTTAAACTCTTCCTGCATTTCGTTTCTGTTTCTGCTTTAATTTTTTACTCCTTTTTTTTTTTTTTTGAGATGGAGTCTCTCTCTGTCGCCCAGGCTGGAGTGCAGTGGCGCCATCTCGGCTCACTGCAAGCTCCGCCTCCTGGGTTCATGCCATTCTCCTGCCTCAGCCTCCTGAGTAGCTGGGACTACAGGCACCCGCCACCACGCCCAGCTAATTTTTTTTTTTTTTGTATATTTAGTAGAGACGGGGTTTCACCGTGTTAGCCAGGATGGTCTCGATCTCCTGACCTTGTGATCTGCCTGCCTCAGCCTCCCAAAGTGCTGGGATTACAGGTGTAAGCCACCACGCCTGGCCTATTTTTACTGCTTTTAACTGTCAGAAAGTATAAGCTCTTAATGACAGTAAAAGTTTTCATTGCCTATCTTCTTGAACACCTGTTAGGTCCTAAAGGATATTGCAGTAAAGCTTTACAGAAGAGCTTTTTTGCAAATAAATGTTATCAAAATAGTGATGTTGAGTGAGGAATAAAATGTTTTTCAGGGATTTTGGCGGGGCTAAGGGTCAAGCAGTCAGGGCAAATTTTATAGATGGCAATGTAATCTAGCATATTCAAACACTGGTTTTTGGATGGGTGGGAGAATTTAGTCAGAATATTGCTGTGTTTTCAGAGATTGTCCTGGCTCTAATTTCAAAATACCACTTTCCTAAACAACGTGATACAAAGTGGTTCATCTTTAGTGTATATTTTGAGTAGCGTTTTGACTATATTTTGAATGGAAGAAGTAGGAAAAAGACTGTCATTGCGTTATAGTGGTTTGTATTATCCACAGTTAAGCATTATGTTAATACATTTGAGTCCCTGTTTTTGTTCTTATTAGGTAATTGGCAGTAAATTCAGCACTCCCAGGAATTGAGATTTGTGATGCTATTTGGGTATTTCTCATAACATTCACAGTAAAAAATCACATTGCCATGTTATGTGGACATTATTTAGGCTTATTACTAGCTTTTGTGATAGCTAGGAGACATCACAAAGATTATTTGGGATTTGAAAATGAATGATGGCCTTAGAAAAAGATCAGTATCTCTTGTAGGCAGATATTTTATAGATGACTTTAACAATTTAAATCTAGATGGAACTGGAAGGCTGATTAGCAAGTGTGGAGTGGTGAAAGTAGAAGAATTCAGTGACACCTTATTAACTTCTAGGTTTTCTTTAACTGCTTCCAGTGCTTGGAGCTGCCTTTGGAGATTTACCAAAGCATTTAGTTATTGATTCTAGTTAGAACTACTTTATTCTTTCCTTTAATATTTTTGTATTTTGTTTCATAGCTATTGCTTATGTCTTGATTGGCAGTGGTCTGTATGATGAAGCAATACGGCATTTTTCAACAATGCTTCAGGTAAATTTTCTTCTTATTTATGTAATTTTGAGTTTATGGTCATGACAAAAATATGGACTAATGAACAGCTGAAGTGCTGTAATACGACATGTTTTTAAATTATACAAGAAAGTGAAAGAAATTGGTATGGACTGAGCACTTTCTTGCTGCCAGGCCTTGTGACATGCTTTCATTTAATCTTTTAAATGAAAGATTTTAAAGAAAACTTCATTTTAAATGAGAAAAGGGAATCTAATCAGGTCAAGCAATTTACTCATAGTCTCCCGACCATCAAATTGCAGAGATGGGATTCAAATGCAAGCTTTAAAAAAACATTAGCTTCAGTTCACTTTCCTCTCTACCACAATATCTCCCATGAGATACAGACACTGGAAATTCTTGAAATTCCAGCTTAATTTCACACAGGAGTTGATCTTCATGATTAACTTAATTTCTACTCATAGGTATGTTTCTCACCTTAAAGTATAATTATGAGACTCCTCAGTGAAGTATTGGGTCTTTACTGATTGGTGGCTGCACTAAAGTCTAGTTAAGATAAAGCATTTAAGCACTGCATGTATAAGAGTTGCAAAGAAGGCTGGTAGCTGCCCAGCATCATTGGCCTTGTATCTTGTATCATTATTCAACTGTATGCACTGTTGGTGCCTAACCATTTATTGATTGTTGATGTGTCTTTCCAGTGAAGAAGACATGGATTTTAGAGCTAGAGATGCCTTAATTCTAATCCACTTTGCTTCTTGCTACCAAGTTATTTAAACTCCTGAGTTATGGAGATAATAATAACTACCTCCAAAAAAATTCTTTTTTGGTTTAAATGAAATGTCCTATTAAAGTACTTAGTACCCAGTGCCTGGCACATAGTAAGTGCTTAGTAAATTTTGGCTAGTCAAAGTACCATTCTGGTATATTCATCTGTGTTAACCGTAGCAAGTGCCAACAAATGCCTTCCAGTCTAGCAGGCAGACTTAATTTAAATGATTCATTTTGGAATTTTAGCTCTGCTTTTGTTTTCTCTTTAAAAATAAGGTTAATTATACTGATAATATCTTCATTCTCAAACAATTGATGAGATATTTTTAGTTATTACTTTGAGGTCTTTGGATCCAAGGAGTGGTATATTTGGGTGGTCATGTGGAACACTATTCTTCAGTAGAATTTAAAGTACAAAGGGTAGATTATAAATAGTTTAAAAAACCACCTTTCTGTTAAGTATTGGCAATGTTATAAAAGGTAAGCAAACACTTTTACACAGTTAACACCTGACCCTGGTTTGAAAGGGAGGTTTTGATACGTTTATAGGAGCAAATATCAGTTAATTTAAGGCAACCAGGCTGGAGTGTAGAATCCAGCAGAAAATAGGAATTTGCAGATGTATTATTTTATTCAACTTTTTGAAAATGTTATTACCATTGTGGTTGAAGACAATATAATACTCTTAAAGAAAATATTTTAAATAATAAAAAATTTCCGAATTCTGCCACTTTAACATTGTTTAAATTTTTTATTTATGCCTTTTCAAAGTATGCATTTGTTTTATAATCTGAATATATGTACTGTTTTGTATTACTTTTTCACTTAATTCTATGCTGTAAATGTTTATCAGTATTTTTCTACAATCTTATTTTTAATGGCTCTATAATATGCCTTTGTTTTGTCCATTTATAGTTGTAAGACATTTCTCTTGCAATTGTGTTCAGAAAGTATATTAGCATTTTTCTTTTTGTGCAAAGAAGATAATGTATTGAAATGTGATATCGTATTTTCATCAATCTCTGATACAATGGGTTGCTTTCAGCTGGGAAATCTGTCTTTGAGAATGTGTGGATTATAAGATTGGACTGCTTTGCTCGCAGTTCAGACTATTGATGGGGCAGGGATGAAGGCAGTGGAAAGTTCAGATGCAGAAGAATGAACTGGGTGGTCATTTGTAACATATTTTTATTAGCAGCAAGAATGCCCTTGGCTTTCCTGCTGGTGCTTTCCTCAGTGATTTCTCTCTCCTTACCCTTTATCTCAGTGCTTCCCAGCTCTTTCCACATCATGGCAGATGTGGAAATAATATCTGCATGGCACATGGGTAAACAAGAATAATTTGGAGGCATCCAGATAAAGCTTTGTGAAAATCTGTCACATTTTCTTTGTATCATATGACTGATAAGGAATAGAAAATTCGAAGATTCTATACTCCAGCTAGAGAGCAAGAACCTGTCTCTGAAAAAAAGAAAGAAAATACGAAGATTCGATGTTAAATGCTAAAATTGTTTTCAAAAGTTCTAATAAGAAACTTGATCCTACTTTTCTGGACAAAACTTTTCTATATTAGAGTTTATGTTTGAAATTGATGCACGCAGTCTCTGTTTGAGTTTTCTGTTGATTTCATCAAATTCTCGATAGCCAGTGTCATCGAGACACTGTAAAAGTAGGTGATAGCAAATGTCCAAAGAATAGTTATTGCTTCTTCTCCAATTGACTGAAAATCCTTTTTTCATCACAAATCATAATTTGCATAAATTATTCTCTTTAAATTATGTATCACACACATGATTATTCTCTAAATCTAATTACTCTTTTCTTTTTTGTTTGTTTTTTTCTTTTGTTGGCAAGTGTAGTGATAAAATTTCTTGCAGTATGAAATACATTTTTATCTCAATAATACTTTTTCATATCCAGTATTTCAGCATAGTGATGAAGCTTTTCTTCAAGCCTACACAGATGTTGCTCTACTACTTTTCATTCTTCACGTTGCACCTGAGCTAAATATCACTTGAGAACCATTTTTCTCTGTATATGCTAATAAGTTTTTACCTGTTCCTTGCAGGACCTTCTAGATATGCAAAAATGCAGTATTTTTAAGCCAGTAAATGTCCTTTGACAAATCTACAAAGTGGTAGCTATTCATGTACAGAATTTTTGGTTTTCTTGAGTTCATTAACTCTTGGCAATCTTTTTTTTTTTTTTAGACAGCTCATGAGCTCCAGTATGAAGCAGCAGAGCATGGAATATTATTCTGTTTATAGAAGCAGGCAACAAATGGGGACTCAGGGGCTTGGATTTTATTAGAATCACTGTTTTGATAAGCTCATTTAATATGATTTTCAAATCTACATATAAAGGGTATTTTAACTCCAGAATGACTTTTTGATATAAAGCTCTTATACCTTTCCTGTTGTCTTGGTTTCACCATCAGGTTACAAACCTGGGAAATATTTCCATAATCCTCGGTGTTTCAAAGTGTTTATTGGAATGTTTATTCCCTGTGGTTTGATTTTCCTTTACAGAAGTATCAAGGTTTCTAACTGAGCACAATGACAGGGTTTAATAGATGTTGGTCTGCATTGGAAACTCTTGATTTTTAAAGCTTATAAGTTAGTGTTGCTTCTATGCCAATGCCCTGAAGTCATTTCCATGTGTGTCAGTGCATCAGTAATAGTGTTCTTGAGTTGAAAAGTAGAACTTTTTCCTGATTTCTGTGCTGCTTTGGTCCTCATGCAGGGATGGGTTTAACATAAATGCTTCAACAATTTTATGAGATAATTTGGCCTTTGCTATTTATTATGTGACCTTGAGCTCATCTGATTTTGATCTGATTCCAGTGGAACTGAACTTGTAAAAGAATATTACTTCCTATTTTACATTAGCATACAAAATTGGAAACATTCCTCTGCATAGAATTTTAAATAACATCCTTTATGTAAATATGTGTGTTCGTCACTTAGGTGAAATCTAATCCTCATTACATTGCTTATCTACTGACTGTTTCGACTTGTTTGTTTTTAGATCCAGTGACTTCCCAGTTTTAATAAAAAAGCCAGCCTTGTAGTGGTAAATACAGTAAATACTGTAAAATTTAAAGTCACTATATAAGTAATGAAATGAGGATAATATATTAGACTCTTTTTTTTTTGCGAATTGAGACATCTAAGTAGACACAACACCATTTAGGCAACTGTTATACCATGATTTTGCAGTTGCATAAAGTAAAATTGGAAGATTGAAGTATTCATTTTCATTTCAGTCTTTTTAAGAGTATAGAAACTTTTTAAAGAAACTTTTTAAAAAGTTTCTGAAAACTTTATAAAGTATAAATATTATAAAAATATTTTGAAAAATTGCTCTTCAGAGCCTAATTTGTTTTTAGGAATAAACGTTGGTTTTTATTTGGAAAAACCCAATAATTTACTATGGCATTCCATAAAGAAAAGTTTTTGGCTTTTAGCTAATGATAGATAAAATAATAAATAAAGTTGTATCAACTTTTAAAAGTAATAAAATCTGTTATTTAAATTTAGGAAGGCTTAATACTAGACTGTAGATATAACAGCCACAATAATTATATGTCCTTCTTGACTGTTAGGAAAAAATTCTAAAAAGAAAGAATAAATTGGGCCGGGCGTGGTGGCTCAGGCCTGTAATCCCAGCACTTTGGGAGGCCAAGGCGGGCGGATCACGAGGTCAGGAGATTGAGACTATCCTGGCTAACATGGTGAAACCCCGTCTCTACTAAAAATACAAAAACAAAATTAGCTGGGCATGGTGGCTGGCGCCTGTAGTCCCAGCTACTCAGGAGGCTGAGGCGGGAGAATGGCGTGAACCCTGGAGGTGGAACTTGCAGTGAGCCAAGATCGCGCCACTGCAGTCCAGCCTGGGCGACAGCGAGACTTCGTCTCAAAAATAAAAAATAAAAAAAAAAGGAAAGAATAAATTGAATAGAGAAAACCTAAATACTTTACAGATAAGCACAGTAATCAATTCAGTGCTGTAGTAATGATGAGACCATGGGGTGACTTGAGGGGAGGCCCGTGCGAGGGCCTCTGTGTGGGGCACACATCCAATCCTGCAGTCAAGATGATGATGGCTACCTTTAGGAAGTTGTCAGTGTTCGGATATTTCAGCTGTTGCAAATTTTTGAATGGCTGTTTTTTTTTTTTAATTTAAAATTTTTATTACTATAAAAATGTTCCAGCTGCAAGAGCTGGAGGGCCACCATACGTCATTCACTGTGGCACATCTGTCATAGAGCTTTGCCTTCCTGTTACCCTGGATCGGGCTCTTGTTTTCCATTGACCTGCACCCCACTATTATTAGCCATGTTGTCCTGCTTGCTTCCCTTTGGGAAGAATAGGCTTAGCAGAGCTGACTTTGATCTGATAGGCAAATCTTTGTCTTCTGTGTTGGTTTTTGCTTGCTATTCCTAGTATGTGGCAAGAATAGCATGACTTTGCATGGTATTCCTAGCACATGGAACCTGAGATAGCTAACAGTAGGCCCTGAGTAAATAATTGTGGAATGAATGGCTGACATCCATACAGTGAACAGTGGGAATAAAGGAGAAGGAGCATATTTATTTTCCAGGGGCGTCTGGAAGGAATCCAAAGGTGGTGTTTGAACTGAGACTTAAGGGATCAAAGGAATTTCTTGGGGACCGAGGCAATGGGTGAGTGTTTCAGACAGAGGGGATAGCATTTGCAAATGCACTGCATTTGGGAAAGCATCTTGTATGTAGGGAATTATTAAATGATTCTGATTTCTAGGGTATGAAGTGAAGCTGGGTGTGGTGGCTCACGCCTGTAACCCCAGCACTTTGGGAGGTTGAAGCAGGAGGATTGCTTGAACCCAGGAGCTTGAGACCAGCCTGGGCAATAAAGTGAGACCCCCATCTCAACAAAAAAATTTTAAAATTAGCCTGGTGTGATCGTGCACTCCTATAGCCTCAGGTACTTGAAAGGCTGAGGTGGGAGTTTGAGCCCAGGAGTTTGAGGCTGTAGTGAGCTAGGCTTGCACCACTGTACTCTAGCATGGGTGACAGAGTGAGACCCTGTCTTTATGAAAAGAAAAAAAAAAAAGAGGAAGGAGATGAGGCTGAACAGTAAGCAGGAAAATGATTAATATTTTCTGCAGAGCCATTTAGATGTTACCTTTTTTTTTTTTTTTTGTATTGTGAGTTGCTACCCTTTAGTGGGTCCTGAAATTAATTGGCAAGTCAAGATTAGCACTTTTTTTTTTAAGTGAAATATGCTGGACTAGAAAATATCAGATTCCATTGTGTATAGGAAGTCCTAGGTATAACCTACTGAAACTGTTTTCTGATACATGTGTGTATATATTGTGCACATGTGTATGTGTGTACTGGATTGTAATGTAAAATGTATTTCAGTGATTTGGAGTTTAAAAAGTTTGAATGTCACTGTATTAGGTGTTGGGGAGTCACTGAATAATTTCAGTTAGGGAAATGATATGATGAGACTTTAGTGTTAGAAAGATAACTCTTGGTGTATATCTGGAGAATAGATAGGAAGAAATGGGAACAGGTAAGGTGATCACAGTATCCTAGGTGAGAGAGGAAGGCTTAGAATAGGGCAGTGGCTGATGGAGTGGGTGGGAGGATGCTGATCTGTTCAGGAGGTGAGATGGCCAGGATTTGGTGAGGGGTGTGTGACCTGGAGAGCAGGAGGATGCCAGAGCACCAGCCCCGGCCACGGGTGTGCGGGGATGCCAGTTGTATTTGTAGAATAACTGCTTATTTACATCTTTTTCTGATTCACCTCTTGGTCATCTGGAGTAAACTTTTTTCTGTTAGGAGAAAAGCAGCTTGGATAATATATTTTGAACCATAACAAATCTGAGCATAGGTTTGGTTCTTCCTGGAGATGTATGTTATCCTAAAGCAAGCTTGTCCAACCCATGGGCCACATGCAGCCCAGGATGGCTTTGAATGTGGCTCAACACAGCTTTGTAAAGTTTCTTAAAACATTATGATATTTTTTTTTTTTTAGCTCATTAGTTATCATTAGTGTTACGGTATTTTATGTGTGGCCTAAGACAATTCTTTTCCCAATGTGGCCCAGGGAAGCCAAAAGATTGGACACCCCTGCTCTAGAGGATGAGCTCACTGGGCTTACCGCCTCCCACCCCAGCCTGGCCAGGGTTCGGTTCGACTGTTGACTGTTCTGTCTTCTGGCTTTTTTGCTACAGAAAAGCATGACGCCAGTCTTACTTTTAATTCCTCATTAGGTTCCCTTTTTTCCTGCTCCCCTTTTCCCCCTGACACCTGTATCCTTTCTCCATCCAAACCACTTACTCTGCCTTCCTTTAAGCCAGGAAGAATACTTAAATGTTTAAAGTGCTTATCTCTGGGGGGGCAGGCTTATAGGGCTCCTTTACTTTCTGCTTGGTGCTTTTCTTCATTTTCTAAAATTTTTACAGGGAAACATGTATTACTTAAAACATACTTTTTTCTGATTATAAATGAGCATGTCTGTTTTAAAAAATTAACAGGAATATAACAATATATTAAGTACAGTGGGAATATATCTAGTAATCTCACTCCCCAGAGGAAATTCCTGGTAGCATTTTGGAGTTTATTTCTGTGCACCTAATGGCTCACACAATCACGTATAAGTATGATTTATGAAATATGACTACCATCTTTCTGTAGGTCTATAACATGTACTGTTCCCCGCCCCTCTTAGAAAATAGCATGAGCAACCTCTATACCAGTTACATATAATTCATAAATCCAGAACTTTGTAGGGGCCAGGGAGGTAACATGAGTAAAGAAAGTTGGTGCAGTGTGGCTGTGATGGGTAGGCCCTGTGGTGAACTGATGGACTTGTACCTCTCATCTATAGAGACAGCCAGTGCTTAGCTCTAGTCTCTTATTTATTGCTGTGTGAGAATGCCAAAATGTGGGCCCATGTTTGTTGGATCTTTTGATGTTCTAAGAGAAGCTAGAAACCTAAAATTGTTTAGTTGAATTTTTGCAATTTTTCATACACCGTGTAGTCCAATCTGCTGTCTGGGTTGTGGCCAGCGATATGCCAGTTTACCACTGGATATAGATGCATCTCATTCTATTTGAGTAGCCTTTAGGAAAATTTAAATGCGTGTTATCTTCTCCTTTATTTTTTCCCATTTACTCATCATTGAAGTGAATGTGTTCATTTTCTATAATACTGGCAGATACCCTAGCTCAGATTTGAAACTGAACAGTAGATTAATCTATCAAGTTTTTGCAGAGTTTCTTTCTGGAGAATCCAGTGCCATTCTATTAAATCCCTTAGCAGTGCAAGACTTCCACCCAGGACCTTATAGCCAGAGGCAGCTGTTTATTCTTCTTTCTTAACTGTATAGCGAACCATTCAGAGAAGTAAAAATTGTAGAGGCTAAATGTAGATGAGAGGCATTTCATTCACTCACCAACTAACCTGTGTGTAAGGACTCAATGGCCGGGGTCAACAGATGTTTTGTCCTTGGTCCTGATAGATGTTTCCTCCACCCCATCTGGATTGCAGAATAACAGGAGAAAGCATGGGAGCAGGCTGCAAAAAGAGTCTGGTTTTTTATTTCAACCCATTAGTATGAAGGGTTGAATTAATCTCCAACAGATTTCAGTGCAGCCTCATTTCTAGTTCGTCATTGTGTTGGCACTGAGTGGTTCTTTCCTTTTCAGGTAATTTCATGGATATATGAAAGAAAACACATTAGTTACAGGCATTACCTAATCCTTTGCTCACATCTCTTTACCCCTCTGAGCCTCCTTCTTCTCTGTAAGACATGATTGCTGATGCTGCCAGAGTTGTTGAGAGGATTGCATTTTAAATAAGATGACCCTGTGAAAGAAACCAGCATGTTTCTGCGTAATGTTGGTTCCCTTCTCTCTCTATTATTTTTTTCAACATGAAACTTTTATCACATTTCATACAAATGAGCTTTAAGAACATAGACTTTTCAGGTTGGAGACTGCGTATTGACTTACGAGTGGTCGTAGCATAAAGAAGTAGAGCTGTCACTTGCGGCATTAACGTGCTTTAAGCAGAAACTGATTTTTTGTTTTGTTTTGTTTATGGTTTTTGACGTGTTTTTGTTTTGGTCTGACTAGGAGGAGCCTGATCTGGTTAGTGCAATTTATGGCCGAGGGATAGCCTATGGAAAGAAGGGACTACATGTGAGTATGTAATAGTTACGATTGCCATAGCGCCTACATGACCTGACACAGACCAGGGTTTTGCTAGAACTGCTACTGTTCATTGACCCTTGATGGGATGTGGAGTGGTATCTATCATTCCAGTTCACAGATGAGAAAATGGCAGCTAGTAAGTGGTGGACTGGGGATTTCCACCCAGATCTTCTGAAGTCAACTTTGATGAACTGGATAGACTAAGAAAAGCATGAGACCCTGCTTGCTTTCCTAAGAGATATTCAATGGTCCAAGTGGAGACTGGGCATCAATAGTGCAGTAGGACTTAGAGTTTGAGTTCCTTTCACAATTATTAAAGGTTGGTGAAAGAACAAAAGGTTTTTTTAGGCATGTAAAATTTATCTTTATTTGTTATATTTTATACTTTTTGCATATGGCGTAATATCTTTGTAGCTGTAATCAAATTATTCCCCTTATTTCTCTGAGGAAGGCTGGAGAAGGACTATAATAATCATATTTTACACAAACAAAGGTACTATGGTATAAAAATGAAGACTCCTGAAATTATATAGTAAATCACGAAATGGTGTAAGTTCAGCTTTCCAAATTTTTAGTCTAGGACATTATATGCAAACTTTTTCTATTGTCTTATTGTATACTAAAAATATTTGTGTGAAATTGTGCTTTGAGAGAAATGCCACTTTTGCAACTTTTACATTAAAATATTAAAAATGTTTAACATTTTTATTTTATTACAATTTATAAAATATTACAATTAATATTATACTAACCTTGTGCTGGCCTATTGGAGAAACTTTGTGTATTTGTATACTTTGAGACATAGAGGACTGAGAATGAATTTAGAATTGGGAATGATGGAAGTGCTTAGGAAGGAAATGATATTTTACTCAGAGCATCAATGAATGACCAGGTTGAAGTTGCAGTAGTAAAGTTCAGAGCTGCCTCTTCCTAATTCTCATCTTTTAAAATTATATATCTTGAGATTAAATTTGCATGTATATTTAATAAAAAGTTGCACATGCATTTTTAATGTAAAAATAATGTGCAAATGTTAAAGAGAATGTACCTAAACTTCTTAAGGTATAGATTTATAGGCTTATGTTTTTGATAGACACTGTCTTGACCCATTTCTGTTCCCCTGTTGCCACAGGTCAGCCTCATTTCATGTGCTGGTATCCACATACTCATCCATTGAGATTCGTTGATTCCATGTTTAAGTAGATTAAGTTTAGATAATATCCTGCCATCTGTGGAATTTGTGATAGGTAGCCGGGTCTAACATGTTATTGTTGAGTAAGTAGGTAGACTTGAGTGAGTTAAATAATTATAATATCATGACTGATTTGACATGGCACATCTCTTACATAGAAGTGAAGTTCATATTTATTTTTAAACAATTGGTTACATCATTACTAAATTATTAGTTTTCTCAGAAAATTTTTTCAGCCTGGTTTTGAGTAACAGTATGTCTCATACTAAGCTAATGCCTTTTCAAGGACATTAAGAATGCTGAGCTTGCTCTGTTCGAACTGAGCCGAGTAATTACCTTGGAACCAGATCGTCCAGAGGTATTTGAGCAGCGAGCAGAAGTGAGTGTGGCTTTCTTTTTCCCTCTGTCATTATTGGATTAGTTGAATCTCAATTTTTTTCCTATTACTTTATTATTTGTAAATTTTAATGCTCCCTTAAAACTCTTATGTTTTTCTATGTCGGTACTTAATGCCTTTAAGCATGGTTGAAATTAATAGAAAACTATGGATTGAGTGATATTCCTGAACTAACATAGAAGAGTAATATTTAGTATGAAAATATGTGGTTGAAAATATTTAGTATGAAAATATGACGTGTACTACTTCTATAGATATTCATTGAAAAATATAACACATAATATTTGTGTTATATTTTGAAAAATATAACACAGAAAAATACAACACACAAAAGAAACACAGTTTCATCCATGTCCCTACAAAGGACATGAACTCATCATTTTTTATGGCTGCATAGTATTCCATGGTAATATGTGCCACATTTTCTTAATCCAGTCTATTGTTGTTGGACATTTGGGTTGGTTCCAAGTCTTTATGTAACAAACCTGCACATTGTGCACATGTACCCTAAAACTTAAAGTATAATAATAATAAAATTTAAAAAAAAACACAAAAAATATAACACAAAAGAAAAACACATAATATTCATTGAAAAATATAACACATAATATTCATTGAAAAATATAACACATAATATTTACTGTATATGTGACATACTTTAGCAAGACTTGATATGACTGTTAGGTCAAACTGGAATTCACAGCCCTTGGAAGCGTTCATTCTGCTGATGTGTATGTGTGTAAGCACTTAAATGTAATTCTTATGATATAGACCTAGGTGCATGGATACATAGATCAAGTGAGGATGATGACAGCCACATCTTAAAGGAACTTGACATAGAGACAGATAATATGTGGTGAAGATGCCATGTAATACTGGCTCAAGTAGACAGAGGAGGCGCTTCTTTGGGAAGAGAAGAAGGGGAATGTTGGGAGTGTTTGCTGAGGCTGTCGGAGGAAGCGAGGCTAGAGCTGATCCAGTCCCATGGTGTGGTGGGGACAAGATGGAGGAGAGTGTTCAGCGCAGGGAAGAGAGTCTGTACAAAGGCATTCTGTTTTATGTTTTTAAGTGAAATGTGTTTGTTTTACTTTCTTAAAATAATAAGCTATCTAGGCTTCATATGTGTTAATGTATTTAGTCTGAATAAAACAACTTTTAATCATCTGATATGATCTCATAGTTGAACTAAAGAAAAAATTACTTTTTATTTTCTCTTTTGGAAGAGAAAGCTAGTAAAGGAAGTGCTAAAGGTATAGGAATTTAAAAACTGTATTTATGGTATTTTTGTTCTTAAGATTATTGTGTCTTACAGTTCAGTCTCTTAAAGTGAATTTTTGTTTTGTTGGGGATTTGGCTTTTTGAATAAAATCTTTCTCAATGAATGATTTAATTTCTTACCTCTTCTCTATTTTGAATTGTAACCCTA
Source organism: Homo sapiens (assembly GCF_000001405.40). Lineage (NCBI taxonomy): Eukaryota > Metazoa > Chordata > Mammalia > Primates > Hominidae > Homo > Homo sapiens. The sequence continues at coordinate 230,942,361 of NC_000001.11, read as the reverse complement.
AGGGTTAAGTGACTATAGTTTATCACTGCATGAGACTTGCTGGTATTTAGTTGGTGTTTAGTGGCTAATTTGGTGACAGATTTGGTAATCATCTGCTTCTGGTAGGGGGGACTGATGTTTTTTCCCCTATATTACTCTGGTTTATGTTAAAATCTGGTAAATCATGAGTTAAGTATATTTAGGTAAGAATTATTTAACAGGTCTTTACAATTTGCATATCTAATAAAAAACTACTGTTTATCAAAAATGGCATTGGTAATTAGAAAAATAATTTTTAATTGTCTTAAAAATGTATAATAATATTCTGTTTTTCTGGCATTGTTTGGGCAATAATGTTACTACATACTGAATTTTCCGGCTAAATTATAACATACCATTTATATATGTCAGAGGTCATTTTATGAGTAATCTTTCACTTTCATGCTTTCTGAAATATTCTATATTTGATGAACATAAATTAACTTTTTAAAGTTACTCATTATTATCATATTGATTGTTGTGCTGGGGTATGATAATTCAGTTATGTACCTAGGGGTTGATAAACTAGGGAGGGATGATTTTCCTTCCCAAATACAACCCCAGCCCACTGTGCTTTTTGAATTCTCAGACATATATTCAATTTCTTTCCTCTTTCTGAGCTATCATGCTTACTACTGGTGATAGGCCTGCCTGAATCCTCTTTCTTGCTGGTTTTAAACTTCTGTAGAGTAGGAAATTATAAAATTCGGTAGAAATAACCTGTCTAATAAGGATGGAATAGGCTGGACATGGTGGCTTATGCCTGTAATCCCAAAATTTTGGGAGGCCAACACAGGAGGATTGCTCAAGGCCAAGAGTTCAAGACCAGCCTGGTCAATGTAGTGAGACCCCTACCTCTGCAAAAAATTTTAAAAAATAAATTAGCAGGGCATGATGGCACAACCCTGTAGCCTAAACTACTCAAGAGGCTGAGGTAGGAGGATTGCATGAGCCCAGGAGTCCGAGGTTACAGTGAGCTATGATTGTGCCACTACATTCCAGCTTGGGTGACAGAGTGAGACCCTGTCTCTAAAACAACAACAAAATAAACCCTAATTTAAGGACGTTCATTCAGGATAAAGTGCTTGGGCTTAATTGCATGAACACTGATACCCATTTTGGATTTTCTTATGTCTTTTTGGTTTACTTTTGCATTCTGAACTGTCTTCTATATTTTCATGTTGCCTGAATACAACTGATTGCTGGCTCAAAAGAGCTTTTCCAAACAGGCTTGCAGATATTTTTCCTCCTACTCTGCAGATCATGACTCATGAGTTAAAAGTTGTTACACAAAAGGGCTTAAAGAGCATCTGGAATCTTAGAAGTTGTCATTCAGCTCTTCTTACCATAGAGGACAGAGCTAAAGACCATGGAAGACTCTAATCTGTGTCCGATAATTTGTCTATTTTAATGGTTCAAAGTTATCTTTCAGGTTAATTTTGACATCTTTGTGTATAGATGCCAAATTTTGATTTAAAAGATAAAATCAAGAAAAAAAATCACATTGCAGGAAAAGCAACATCTGATACAACCCAGAATGTGAAATAGTGACAAGGCAGTTGCTGCAGTCATAGTTCATCAGCCTCCTGCTTGACTGGACAAAGATTAGTGGCACCTCAGCTGGTTGACTTTGAACCCCACCGCATAATATAGGGGGTCAAGGATTGCAGCCTGCTGAGAGTAATTTTTGAGTGGAGTATGGTGAGGTGGAATTGAAGAGTCAAAAACATTGGGATTTTAGGGTTGGTCATTGGTATTCTTCCTGATTACATGTTTGGGATTTCTAGATTCTGTCCCCTCTGGGACGAATTAATGAAGCAGTGAATGACCTCACTAAAGCTATCCAACTGCAGCCCTCAGCACGGCTGTACAGACATCGGGGAACCCTGTACTTCATATCAGAGGTGACTGGTTTTTGTCTTGAAGTATTTTTATGATGATGAAGATTTCATTTTTCCCTTGACCTCAGAAAGTGACTCTTTGATAGATTTGGGCTTTGACTGTTTAGTAATATGTCTGTGTCATAAGAGTTATAAAAGCATTTTCTGTAGCTGAAATTAAACCCAGTGGAGAACATTAAGTACTAAAAACATTTTCTTGTTTGAGCTGTCAGCAATAACTAATTCTGGACTGGCATTTAAAAAAAGAGAGAGAAAGATAAATTTAGTTTGTGGATTGTATGTCAATCTTTCTCGCAAATGTCCTCATAGGGAAGCAGGTGTGCATGTTGTCAATGTGATTATTAAACTTAGCGGTACAATTTGAATTTCTTTGGGTTTCACAGCCCAAGAAACACACCCTGAACTAGCATGGCTTTCCAGACTGTAGCTTCTCTATGTAAGTGACCCAAGCCTGACAAGGTTGTCTTTTATCATCAGAGTGGCATTTATGATTGCCACAATTATTTCTGTGGCTTATAGTACTTTAAATAACAATTTTCTGTGCCAAAGAAAATATATTAAAAGAGTCTCAGCATAACACATTTTAATGTTAATCTGTGGCATAATTATTCTGGGAATATCCAGTATGATAAAATGCTAGTACCAGAAATTTCTCTAACAGATTATTACCATAATACTATTTGAGATAAATTTTTTTGTAGTTGAGACAGAGTGCTTAAATTAAACCTTTGTTTTTCTCACAATCGCTTTTCTTAAAAAACTCCCAACTGTTTGAATGAGTAGTATAAGCACTTAACCAATATATAGTGTCATGAAATGTTTCCTTTAAAGCCAAAAAGGGCAGAGGATGAATTGAGATTTTTTTTCTCTACCAGCCAAAAATTAGGAAATGTTCACATATCTAATGAATACTATTTTATTTTTCCCCCCACTCTCCTTTTTGTAGGACTATGCAACAGCCCATGAAGACTTTCAGCAGTCCTTAGAACTGAACAAAAACCAGCCTATAGCTATGCTATACAAAGGTTTAACTTTCTTTCACAGAGGACTTCTGAAGGTGAAAGTGTTGTGCATATGTGTACCATATGATGACTCTGCTTCTCTTTTGTGGGTGGGAGGAATTTCGTTTGATTGATGGCTGGTATTTATTATTTATTGAGCTCCTACTCTTTGATGGGTTCTTGGAGGGAGATACAGAAAGGGAAAGGATCAAAGGTTAATAAGTGGAAGAAATGATACTTTACCTTTATAGAGGATACAGTTTGCAAAGCTTTTTCCACATATAATTTATCATATGGTAAACATACTCAAGAATGTAATATAAACAAAGTGCTTTGAAAATGTAGATAAGAAAGATTCATTGGAACTGCAGAGTTAGAGAAAGTTCCAAAGAACAGGTGGACTTTGTCCTGGAGCTGGAAGACTGAGTAGGATTAGGGGGTGGAGGTGGGAGAAGAAAAGCCCTTCAGGCAGAGAGGAGAGCGTGGGTGATGACTTGGGGAGATGGAAATATGGGCAGTTCACAGAGTGGGAAGTAGTTGGGTATGGTTTAAGGGAGATGAAGCTGGAAGGTCGGTGGAGGGCAGGTCCTTATCCTGGAGTACTGTGCTAAGCATTTTGACTTAAATTTGCAGACCAGAGGATCTATAAATTCTAGGTTGCCAAAATGCATAGATTCCAGCACTGAGACCAAATCTGTAATTTAGGAAGTAGATTCTGACAGTGTGGTGGCTGAGGAGATGAGGGACAGAAGGACTGACTAGGTGACATTGGTTGGGTCTAGGTCAGTGGGCATGAAACTTGACCCAGCTCCTTGAGAGACCACAGGAACAGGTTGGGAGACCCTTCTTTGATTGACTGTATTAGTATTGCTTGAGAACTGCCTGACTGCTGGGCAGAGGAGGTAGAGGGAAACAGGAAAGCTATCTGAACTGACTGAAAGTATGGGCAGAAACGTGGCCTCCAGCCTGGCCCTTCCTCCTGCCTGGGCACTCGATTCCATGTTCCGAGTCTGTGCGGGGAACCCACTGTGAGAAGGCTTGTGACAGGAGCCGGGGGCCTGGAACCTGACGGGGAGCTGCCTCTCTCACCTGGGCCTCCTTAGTGCCGCTCAAGGCCTGGCACACAGTAGGTGCTCTCACACAGGACATATCCAAGCTACCTGATGGAAGACAGACGGGCCTGAGAACGAAACAGAGGCAGCCTGCACAGCCAAAAAGCAATTCATTCTGACAGGAGCCCCAGAAGGTGGTACTTAACAAGAACTTTGAAGGCTGTGAAGAAATTTAGTAATGTGTGGCAGGGATATGTATTCTGCAGAAAGAACAGACATTTTATTATTGAAAGAGGTTTGAGGATCTGACATACATATATTTGGGTTGTGGGGAGAGTGTTTACCTGTGAAAAGGCTGCACATTGCAAATCCTCAGTGTTAAGGGCAGTGCCTGTCACAAAGTAGGTGCTCAATACGTATTAGTGCAATAATGAATTTCAAGGACAGAGCATTGAAGTTGATGTTGAATGGTCTTGGTTTGAGCTCTCGCTCCAAGCTCCATGGGCAATCAGTTTCTCCTTCCATGTCTATAAAGTGGAAACAATTCTACTTTCTGCCTCTTGGAGTGATCGTGAGGATTCAATAAAATACTCTATGTGAAAAGTACTTTGTAAGCTTTAAACAGGAATCAAATATTAATTATTATAGATTATTTTATCTGTGAAAATTTAAAGTTTTACAGATTCTAAAAGAAAACTCCCATCCCACTAAAAACCAAACCAAAAGGAATTTTGCAGATTCTATTTCATAAACCTCACATTCCTTTTGGAAGTATGTGGAGGATACTCCTAATAAAGACCTCTCTCTCCCCTCAGGATTCAGACTGGCAGCCGCAGGCTTTGAGAACAATTTCTTAAAACATGCTTTGAGCAGCTGCCAGATAGACTTGTCCAGTTTATTTTGTATCTGCCCTCTGTTCCTCTCATCTTCTCTGACAGTCACCTTAAATTTTAAAAACTCAGAACTTCGGTACTCTACTCAAATTATATCCCTTGGATATCTCATGGAGGAGAAAAAGATTACAAATACAAAAAATACCAACCTATTTGTATTAAGAGGTTGAAAATATTTTTAAAAGTAAACAAATGCAAACGGTTTCACTTTTAACATTGTTACTGTAAAGCCAGGTTTAGGAACATGGATGGGGCTCTTTGGGGTATTTGAAAATGAGAATTTTTCAGAAAAGAGAAACTAACTACAAATTGCACAAGAACTGAAATTCAGTTTGATTTGCTTTAGATCTGCATGATAAGAACCTAGAAACAGTGCTTTCATTTTGAGCATTAAAAGCCCCTCAGCAAACTAGTCCTACCAAGTTATTTGGTACTCTGTCCTTTTCACCATGCTCATAAGCACAGCATCAGCAAGTATAATAGATGGGAACTCTTGCTTTGCATTTTTATAGATCCACTGTCTGAGGAGGTTAGAGTAGTTACTTACTGACTCCTTCATCCCAACGGCATCTCCATGAGGTATAGAAGGAGTGGAGGGTGTCCCTGTTACACAGATTGGAAAACTGAGTCGGTAGTGAAACGGCTGAATTAATAAATGAACTTTGTCTAGGTTTTTCTGTTTCTCTTGTTAACCGCAGAGACAAGTATTAAATGGACCAGTGAGTTTGAGCTATCTTTATATCCTAAAGGTGGTCTCTCTTGGCCAACAGCAATTTAGAAATTAATTGAGTGGGTGATTGCTTATTTACTATATGATGTAATACGTTAGAAGTATATTAGGCAATATTACATTACAAATTTTACAACTATCTAATCCAGGGGTTATATCAGGCATTTTGGATCTTCCCAGGGAAACAACAAAAACTTTTCTATTGAATTCCATTGTTTTATCTATGTTGTAAGGATATTTCACAAACCATGCGTCCCAAGCACCATCAGTCTTCACTTTGAGAGTTTTCTGAGAGTGTTCTCTTAGTTACAAGGAACAGCCCTAGGGTGGTGGTTGCCTGTCAACTAGTAAGAAAGATGGGGACTGAAAATGGTGGGATGGCATTTGCCAAGCAAATTAATTCAGAGCCAGTTCATATGCTTAGAGATTGATTCATTCAAACGTAGTTTCTTTGTTCCCAACGCCTTAAAATCTTGATTCTACTATGTCCCCTCTTTGGCAGAATGAGGTAGAGAGCTGTGCAGTGATTAGACAGGAACCCCGAAACCAAAGACTCTTAAAAGCTGAAGAGAAATCAGACTTTGAAGAACTGTGGCGTCCAAGCATGCTGTAAGTGGAGTGGGCAGCCCCCTGGGCGTCTCCACCTAGCTGTCCACAAGCACTCCAGACTTAACACGCCCCGATGGGCTCGTTATTCCCTCCTGCCCCACCCCATCCCCACCTGCAGCTGCCCTTTCTCCTGTACTTCCTTACTTGGTTAATGTTCTTGCCACCCACCCAAGCTCTTCAGCTTAAAAGCTTCCTACCCTTTCTTCTCCCTCATCTCCCATACCCAGGCAGCCACCAAACTCTGTTGTAGTTTGCCTTTCAAAATGTCTCCTGAGGTTGACCCTTCTTTTCTCTCCTCAGAGACACTTTATTAGTTTGAGCTTTCATTATCTCTTGCTCCAACTACTGCAGCAACTCCCTAATTGGCTCCCTGTCTCCATTCCCTTCTGTCTCTAGTCTGTCTTTGTTGCTGCTAGTAGTAATCATCTCTAAAAAGTACATTTCCTGAGGTCATGCACCTGTGTGAAGCCCCCCAGTCCTCACTGCCTACACTGCTTGGCCCAGGAGGCCCTTCCTTTCCTGGCCCAGCTTCCCACGTTAGCCTGGTCTCCCATCTTTTCCCTCTCCACTGCACCCACCCATGCACCCTGCACTCCTGTACCATTTCTGAGTGATCTGTGCCACTGTACAGTACTATTTCCCCTCTCCAAAATGCCCTCTTTCTTTACCAAATTTCTTTTCATTCTCCAAGGCCCAACTCAATTGTCACTTCCTCCCTGAAGCCTGTTCTCTTACCCCAGGCTCAGTTAGTGATTTCTTTCTCTTCATTCTCAGAGACTTACTTATATCTCTATTCCAGCTCTTAATTTGTATTCCGATAACCTGGTGACACAACTGGCTTTCTAACTAGACTCCATTCTTAGAGGACAGAGATAATGACTGGCTCATCCTTGCCTTCCCTGCACCTCACACTGTCTCTGGCACATAGTAGGCGCTCAATATATGTTTACTGAATTAAGAATATAGTGGTAAAGTCTTAAAAGATCAAGGTTACACCATGGCAAGAAGCCTAACTAAAAGTGATCTTTAACATTTCTTAAATGTTAAAGTTTATCCATTCTCATCTCTCTACCCAACCGTAGATATTCAGCAGGAGTCCTTAATTAGTAGATTGTCATCCCATCGTTGCCTTTGAAGAGTTTGCACACCAGCCTGTCTTGTCCTGCTGTCTCCCTTCCAGAGAAAATCAAGGTGCAGGGAATGAATGCCTTTTTGAAAAGAATTAGAATTTTACTGCTTTTGCAAAACAATTTTGTGTGCCTTACCAAATCATTAAATATTTATTGAGTGCCTACCATGTACAAGGTATGTGACATCTTCAGTAGTTTTCTTCTATGAATTATCTAATCAGGTGTAAAATTATCTAAAGTCATGTCTTTTGCATTAAAGCGATTAGAGATCATGATGCTTTATAGCAGGTAACTTTAGTAAGATATGTCTTTTCCTTAGGAAAAGTGTTAGTAAGCTATATAGTCGTAATTTTTTTTATTGCAGTGTATAAGTCACAGTGAAAAGTACATTTAATGTTGGTTTAAGCCTAGGTTGTTTCTACTTAAATAGAATGGTACACTTGATTAATAGTTTTCATAGATGGAGAGGGAGTTAGGCAGTAGCCAAGTACACCATGCATTTCCAAGGATAGCTTCCCAAAGGATAGTGCCTGCTTAGCAGTTCTCACTTTCTTAGCCACAGACTTGGTGTTAGGCCGATGGAAGCTAACCCCAAACACCTCCAACTTAAGGTTTTTGTTTTGTTTTGTTTTACTTTTTCTTTTTCCTCGTAGATCATGGGAATCCTTCAGATGGTGAATCTAGGAGCCTTTTTGCTTGTTTTAGGAACAGTTTCACATTGGGCTTTCTTTTTTGTCTCTTGGTTCAATTTTAAATGTTGCCAGTTATGATCATTTTAAATTATTTCACACAGCTGTTAGGCTTGCTTTTGGTCCTAGGGCCTTTCTTAATTAAGGATATGATATTAATAATATGAAGGTGAAATGATTAGTATTCAAAGTTTTAATGAAGTAGCTAGTAATGAAGTAGATAAAATGGAAAGCTGATGTCCCATTGTAAAGGGGAGAAATTTAAGGCTCATATTTTTCATAGTAATGCATTTGTTTACTGAAATTAAATCCTTCTGACTTATAGTTTATTGCATTTTCTGCCTCTCTTTTTTAAAAGTCCTCCTAAAAGAAAATCTGTCAGAGACTAGGATATATATTTAAATCCTTTTATGATTTAAGTGAATCTCAATTTTAACAATTATGCAAATGAAATAATTTTCTCTACACTTTTTATAGGAAGCTATTGAATCCTTCAAAGAAGCTTTGAAGCAGAAAGTTGACTTTATTGATGCATATAAAAGTCTAGGGCAGGCATATAGGTGAGTAAAATAATAACAGTTGGGGTAGGAGGGAGGCTGAAGAGTGGGGAGACAAGATAGCTTCACATAATATTTAAAAGAAATAGTATTTCTTAACCAAAGGAGATGGGTATTTTGAATTGTGCAAGTATGTATAGACTTGTTGATATTTTCTCTGAAATGCAGAAAAATAAATTGTACCAGAGGATGTCATGATGCACAGTATTCTCTCTTAACTTCAGCGTGTGTATTGGTCTAGAAAACGTTCATCCTTCAAGGGTTGTTTTGAATAGTGGCATTGTAAGCTATTGGGGTGTAGACGCTGCTGCTACTTTCTTAGACAGTAACTAAGGTAAATTTCCTATGATCTCTTTGAAGAGTCCTAGAATGAAGGGATGGAAAAGTTGTGATTATAATGTACATCTGCTGAGAATGAGAAGTTGTAACTAGAACTTGGCTTCCTGACGCCATGCATTGCCCTGATGATTAGAGCCATTGTGACTTTTGGCTTAAAAAAAAAAAAAGTAAGCCGGGAGCGGTGGCTCATCCCTGTAATCCCAGCACTTTGGGAGGCTAAGGCAGGCAGATCACTTGAGGTCAGGGGTTAGAGACCAGCCTGGCCAACATGGTGAAACCCTGTGTCTACTAAAAATACAAAAGTTAGCTAGGCATGGTGGTGGGTTCCTGTAATCCCAACTACTTGGGAGGCTGAGGCTGGAGAATCGCTTGAACCCGGGAGTCAGAGGTTGCGGTGAGCCAAGATTGCACCACTGCACTCCAGCTTGGGCGACAGAGCGAGACTCTATCTCAAAACAGGAAAAAAAAAGTATATTGTGTTATGAAAAGGAGGTAGGATGGCATGAGTGAAGGAGCTCATGACTTAGTTCTGCCTTGGTCGTTCTGCAGGTATGAGTGCTTAACTTCCCTGAGCTTCTGGCTTCTCACTTGTAAAGGTGCTACAAAAGCTAGAAAAGAAAGACAGCGACGGAAAGTCCCTTTATTAGGTACCTTATTCAGGAAGGATTACATTCAAGAGCTTATTTATCTGATAGTTTGAGGAGCTCTTATACTAACTTGGAAGAAGTGTGTTTGGATTTGTTTGGGGTTTAAGGGATGATATTTGTGCTTCCTGTCTCACAGAATTATTGAATATAAATTGAAAACAGATTTGAAAGCACCTTGTAAAGTGCTGTATGAATGTAAGCAGGAATTATATTTTTAAAAAATGTTCACTATTTATAGAGAATTGGGTCCCGCTTTTCAGGAGGTCAAGTGGGAGCATCGCCTGAGCCCAGGAGGCTGATTTCAGCCTGAGCAATGCAGTGAGACCCGGTTTCTAAACCTATTTGAAAAGCAAATAAAAAGCAGATTGATCCATAACAACCATTTCCATCCTGGAATGGTTACAATTCTAAAATACACTTCTTTTTTCAGAATTCTAAATTATATAATGATTTACTAGATTTTAAGCAAAGCAACTTTGGTGACCAAAAAAAAAAAAAATGCATTTTTAAGGCTATGAATTTGATTGAGAATGATGAACTGTTTATGATTATAATTGGTATATTTTTTTCCAAATGGGAAAAGTGTGTTTCTATCCATATATTAACATTTACACAGTTTTTAGGGTTTGGGACTCATTGTGAATAATCAAGGAGAGGGGTTTGAATAAGCGTCTGCCTTTGGAAATCAGCAGATGAATTTTCCCCACAGAATTTCAAGAGCTCTGTGGTTATCCTATGAGCTGGTGAGATTTAGAAGTAAGTGAAATGTAATGTGTCAGAGGCTATAAAAAAGCAACAAAGGGAACACTCCCATCAAGGTATCTTGTTTACATATTGGTCCATAATTCTGAGGATAGCTTATTCTGTATGTTTCCCGTAATATCTATACTGTATTCATAACTATTATTAAATACCTAGAGAACTGGGCAATTTTGAAGCAGCCACTGAGAGCTTTCAAAAGGCACTGTTGCTCAACCAAAATCATGTGCAAACCCTCCAGCTCCGGGGAATGATGCTCTACCACCACGGCAGCTTACAGGAAGCCCTTAAGAACTTTAAGGTGAGCATCCATAAATAAGAACACTGTAATTGGAATTACTGGATTATTCTTCATTGAAGTTTAGTGAAATGAATAGAGAAGGGGGACTGAGAATAGTGTTTCTACTCCAACAAAAAGAAAGAGAAGAAATCATTGCTCTTGTCCTGTAGACTAGTTTACAGGTCTGGTTTAACCTGGAGGGAAAACTAATTCCAGAGTAAAGAATAAAGCATTTCAAAGTTTTCCTAAACTGTGTTGATACTAATGCAGCATTTTGTCCTCAGCGGTGTCTGCAGCTAGAGCCATATAATGAAGTGTGCCAGTATATGAAAGGGCTCAGCCATGTTGCCATGGGACAGTTTTATGAAGGGATAAAAGCACAAACAAAAGTTATGCTGAATGATCCTCTCCCAGGCCAGAAGGCTAGCCCTGAGTATCTTAAAGTAAAGTATCTCCGAGGTAAGTCAGAAAATCACAGAATTGTTGGATTTTCATGCTCAAAGCTGTAGAAATCATATTGCTTGACTCTTTTATGTTTCGTATGAAACAGTGGAGTCTGAAAGAGGCCAGGTGACTCATCCACAGCCACACCTTGTCAGTGCTAGTGTCGAGACTAGATGTTTCTATCTTCAAAAGATCAGTCAAATGCATTTTCTACCACTTTTAACATTTTTACTTTCTAAAGTTAAAACATTTTTTACTTAAGTTGAAAAGCCATATTTTGAACTAAATGTGACAAGCATCTGGAATATTTGTGTCTCATCACATCTCATCCAAGAATACAGGAAGGGCAGGAAACTGACATTCTGTGAGGTTCTTACTGTTTTTTTGTTTTGTTTTGAGATGGAGTCTTGCTCTGTCACCAGGCTGGAGTACAGTGGTGCAATCTCAGCTCACTGCAACCTCCGCCTCCTGGGTTCATCCCATTCTCCTGCCTCAGCCTCCCGAGTAGCTGGGACTACAAGGGCGCGCCATCATGCCCAGCTGATTTTTGTATTCTTAGTAGAGACAGGGTTTCACCATGTTGGCCAGGATGGTCTCGATCTCTTGACCTCGTGATCCACCTGCCTCGGCCTCCCAAAGTGCTGGGATTACAGGCGTGAGCCACCACGCCCAGCTGGTTCTTACTGTTAAATGTGAACTTGGTATCTTTGACTTGTCATTCCTTCATATCAAAATTCTCATATATTTTGGAGAAATATGAGGTGAGGAAGAAAGCAAATCTTGCAGTTACCCTTTTATTAGTTGTAGTTTTACTCACCTTTTATCTCCTGTCTCTGAAGACAGTTTTTTTAATTAAAGCCTACATTCTTTTTTGTTATTGTGAGCCCTTTATACCATGACTGTCCAAAATAAAAAAAAGGGGAAAGCTGTGTGTGTAATTTTAAATTTGTGGTAGCCACATTAAAAAAGTGAAAATCAAAGAAGTGGAATTAATTTTAATAATGTATAATTTTAAATTCAGTATACCCAAAATATCCATTCAATATATAACATAATTAATATGAAGCTGCTATTCATTAGATACTTTACATTATTTGTTGTACTAAGTCTTTGAAATCTGATGTATAGTTTATGCTATAGTACATCTCAATTTGGATGTTAAATTTTCATTGGAAATACTTGATCTGAATTTAGAATTTATAATATTTATAGTTAAGAAAGTAGGTTCATATGTGTAAGTTGTTCCACATGCACTGAAGTTTTCTGATGATTGAATCAAGTATCAGTTTGTAAGTTTAAATTAATTCAAATTAAATAAAGTTTAAAATTCAGTTTCAATCACCCTAGCCTCATTAAGTATCCAATAGCCAGGTGGCTAGGGGCTACCTATTAGAGAACATCTTTCTTCTACCTGAATTACAATTCCCTTTTTTCTGGTTCAGTGGAGCTTGCGCTTGTGAATTATAGGCAGAAGGGGCAGGTATTCTGTACTTTGGGTTTTTTCCTACACTGCTTTCATAGAGATAAGCAGCAGTCCATTAGTCGGTTGGTGAAATTATATACCCAATCAATCTATATACCAGTTGACAGAGTACCAGGCTCTATCTGAGACTGAACTTGGATTCTTAAGCTCTGGAATTGAAAACAATGAGATTTTTAGTGGTTTTCCTGGAAAGGTGATTAAAATTTAGCCAAACTAGGCCAGGCGCGGTGGCTCATGCCTGTAATCCCAGCACTTTGGGAGGCTGAGGCAGGCGGATCACAAGGTCAGGAGATCGAGACCATCCTGGCTAACACGGTGAAACCCTGTCTCTACTAAAAATACAAAAAATAAGCTGGGCATGGTGGCGGGTGCCTGTAGTCCCAGCTACTCGGGAGGCCGAGGCAGGAGAATGGCTTGAACCCAGGAGGCAGAGCTTGCAGTGAGCCAAGATTGCACCACCGCACTCCAGCCTGGGCTGGAGCAAGACTCCGTCTCAAAAAAAAAAAATGTAGCCAAAGTAGACCCAGACTGACTGACTTATATTTGACCTTGTTATCTCAAGTCAGTGGCAGGTTACCTCTATCATATACTAATAGTGACTTACTAAAATTTAGAAACTCTTTAGAATTCTTATAATTGAAGAACAGCTTGTTACAAAGTATTTGTATGGCAGCTAGCCATAAGAAAGTTTCTTTAGCAGTATTTGGATGTGTCAGATCTCATTTCCTTTCTGCAGAGTATTCTCGATATCTTCATGCACACCTTGATACCCCCCTTACGGAATATAACATTGATGTGGATCTGCCTGGAAGCTTTAAGGACCACTGGGCTAAAAATTTGCCTTTCCTCATAGAAGACTACGAAGAGCAGCCAGGGTTGCAACCCCACATAAAGTAAGTGCTTTAAATGAAGATGATTTTTTTTTCCTTTCTCAAAACTGAGCTATAAGCTGGGCATGGTGGCACGCTACTCCCTGCTACTTGGGAGGGTGAGGTAGAATTGCCTGGGGCCAGGAGTTCAATCAAGCATACTATCCTTGTGCCTGTGAATATCCATCCATCGCACTACAGCAACACAGCAAAGACCCCATCTCTAAAAACAAAACAAAACAAAAAACACCTATAGCAAACATCATTTTAACTTATGAAATGGTAGATACATTAACATTACCATTGGGAGTCAAAGCAAAAAGCCCAGAATCAGTGCTTCTCTGTAATACTGAACTACAAGTCCTAGACAGTGCACAGAGAGAAGAAAAAGAAATCAGTGATATGGATTAGAAAGGAAAATAGAAAGCTGTCATTGTTTGCAGATCACATAGTTTTCTACAAAGGAAACCTAGAAGATCTACAAATTATAGGAAATGATGAGAGTTTAGCAAGCTCATTGTTTATAATCAATATACAATAATCAGTTACATTTCTATATATAAGCAACAAAAATATCATTTATAGTAGTAACAAATACTTAGAAGTAAATCTTACAAGATCTGTATAAAATCTGTATGGAGATCACAAAACTTAATTGAAAGTTACTAAGATAAAACAAATAAATGGTGAGAAATACTATGTTCATGGATTGGAAGTTCAGTAACATTAGTAGGCCATTTATCTGCAAATTAATTATATATTTAATAAAATGCCATTCAAAATCCCAAGTTTTTTTGAGGCACTTGTTAAGCAAATGTATTGAAGAACAAAGGACCAAGAGTAATCAAGATACTCCCAAAGAAGAGGATGCTCAGGCTTGAAGGGGAAGCTTCTCATCTTACCAGGTAGCAAAACTTAATATAATAATGAACAGAATGGTATTGCTGCAGGGATAGACAAGTGGACTAAGGAAGAGAATAGATAACTTAGATAAATGGGAAAGGTGTGTTAGAGATCAGAGTGGGACTGGTTAAGATGTGGGAGTGGGCCAATTAAGTTATTTTATGGATAAAATAAAATTGATATTTGTGATGGCATAGTAATCTAATTCCAAATGGATGAAAATCTGAAGTATGAATGGCAAAATATTTTAAACTTTAGGAGGAAATATAAATGAAGATGTTTATGACTTTGGGGTAGACAAGGATTTCATAAGAAGCACAAAGCATAGATCTGAAACAAAAAGGTTGATAAATTGGACTACCTTGAACCTAAGAACTTCCGTTCAACAAATGACACCATAAGGAAAGAAAAATAAGCCCAAATTGGATAAAGATACTTGGAAATTTAATAACTGACCAAGAATTACTGTCCAAATTTATGAAGTATCACTACAAATTAAAAAATAAGAGACAACCAATAGAAAAGTGTGCAAAAGACATGAACAAGTAATTTTACCACAGGGAAAACATGAATGACAAACATGAAGAGATACTTTAGTTCATAAATTAAGGCCTCATGAGATTTTTTTCAGCCACTAGATGAGCAAATGTTACGAAGTCTGATAATAGTAATATTGGTCATAAGGGAGATTATGGAGAACTTTTATACTCCTGGTTAGAGTATAAGTTGCTACAACCACTTTGGAAAGCAGTTTTTCATTATCTAGTAAAGCTGAATATTCTCATACTTGATATAAGATTCTGTTCCTGTGTCTATTCAGAGAACTTTGTACTTGTGCACATGTCTACCAGGAGAGATTTATACAGGTCTGCCAGCAGAATTTGTTCACAGCTAACACTGGAAATCAACCCAAATGCCATCAACAGAAGAATGGATAAATGTGATACAGTCACACAATGGGATATTATACAGCAGTATAAACAAATGACCGAGGCAACAATGTGGATTAATTGTAAAATGTAATGTTGAATAAAAGCAGCAAGTCAGTAAGCTGTGCTCTCACATATTTTTTTCTCCCAAAGCTCATAAGCCAAACTGTAGAGTATATTGTATATATACATGTATGTAACAAACCTAGTTTTTAAAAAGGTACGTGAGTCAGGAGCACACATTTCAAGAGATGGGAGGATGGGATAGGAAAGCAGCATACAAGTAGATACAACTGCATGAATTGCTCTAGTTCTTAAACTGGGTAATTTGACTTCGTGTTTTCTATGTGTCTCAACTATTAAATGAGCAAAAATAATAAAAAGAAAATTGATTGCTCATGGAGATTATGCATGTTCTCGAACTACTCCTTTTTTGAGAAATATTTCGATGCACAAAAGAGTTAACATAGTAGCAGGTCTATGACTGCTGTCCTTAGAAAGGACTGCTTGCAAGAGTGACCCTTGGTTGGTATCTGGGAACTTGGATTTCGAGGGGATTCCTACCACTCCCAAAACTAATAGGAGAGGTTCCCTGTGCCTAAACTGTGTGTTCAAACAGTGTGATTTCTATTCAACACTTGCTTTCCTTCTGGGTATCTGGAATTTGGGAACTTGCCAGGCATAAGTTGTCTGTAACCCTGGCCACTGAGTCTTTAATGAGCTTTCCTGGTTGGCAGCATTTTACACGTGTTCGCAACTAATCGCTGGGAGAATTTAATGTGTCATATATGACTTCCTTGGGAGAGGACCCTTGGAAGCTTGTGACTGGTTTCCTCCAGACTTCTCCCAATGTGCCTCTTCCCTCTGCCGGTTTTGTTTTGTAAAGGACACAAAATAAAAAATGATACTCACTATTGTGAGTATCATTATGTGCTAAGTCCACTGAGCCCTTTCAGCCAATTTCTGAGCCTGAGTAAGGATGGTCTTGGAGATCCCCAGAACAACCTGTAATTTAGAGTTTCAGTCTTTGTTATAAAAGCATCAAGCAGGTTGGCAGCTAAACAGTAGTATTTCAATGTATCATTCCAAGTATACTTGTTCTAATACAACTTGGGCAGGGTTGAGGAGTGGACAAAGGGCAGAGGTTTGGTTGCTTGTTGAAAAAGGCAGTCCATTCAGGAATGTATTCTGGAGAAGTTTACAAAGCAAATAATGGAAAGAGGTGTCTTCTGAATTGCATACTAGTTATCATAGTTTTCACTGTTACTAACCAGCATGTGATGGCAATTATGCACATGCCATCATAGAGATTCCCTTTTAAGCTGAGGTATGGTTGGGTGCAAAGGACTGAAGTAAGGATTATGTGGTCGTAGACTGCTTCATTAGTTTTCCCGTGGAGGAAGTGACTGCTTCTCAGGTGGAATTGGATTACCAAATGTCTGTTGTAAAAGTCCTTATCATGTACATGATGTTTCTTCCAGAGATGTGTTACATCAGAATTTTGAGAGTTATAAGCCTGAAGTACAGGAGCTGATTTGTGTGGCTGATCGTTTGGGATCCCTGATGCAATATGAAACACCTGGTTTCCTGCCAAACAAGAGAATACACAGAGGTATTCTGGAAACTACCTGAAAATGAAAATATTCCTGGCATAAGAGGAAGGGTGGTTAAGCCATGTTGTGCATTTTAATAAATTAGTATTTATTGTGCTTATTCAAATTCTCCATGTGATCAGAATAGAAATGTGTAGAATCATTCAAACTGAATTCTGAAAGAAGACTGCTTCCATCCTTGGCTTTTTTGCTATTGCTGTAGTATAAACTAGAATATAGGTCTTAAGTCCTTACTCAAAATCAGACAGCTGATCCAGGGAGCTATTTCCTTACTATAGGAGTGAGGAAGAATGCAAACCTCCACTTGTTTCAGTAGGAGGCAGAGTTGGGAGCAGACAACTTGAGTTGTCTTCAGTTAACTCTGATGGGTTTTAATTTTAGTAGGACCATCATGACTGAAACGTGCCTTGGGTCTTGTTATATCACCAATACTTCTGACCCTTTATGTGTTAACTCTTGAGTTATCACTGAGACTCTGTAAAGTAGGTGGAACTCAGTCCCTCTAAAGTGTACTAACTCTTCTCGATATTCCTTTCTCGTAGCTATGGGTTTGGCCGCATTGGAGGTCATGCAAGCCGTGCAGCGTACATGGACCAACTCGAAAGTTCGAATGAATGGGAAGACACGGTTGATGCAGTGGAGAGACATGTTTGACATTGCAGTTAAATGGAGAAGGTAACTAACATCTCAGTGAAAATAAACTATAAGTCTTATCATTGTCAAATAACGTCAGTCTGTTTTAGCTAACAGGCTATGAACCCTGTTTTGCTTGCTAACACCAGGCCTTCCAAGTTAGGTTTTCCTCTCTAAAGTTTGTTAGAAATTGCTGGCATCTTTATTATTTGACATACACTTAACTAATATTTTCAAAATAGGAATTGATTGGCTGGGCGCAGTGGCTCACGCCTGTAATCCCAGCACTTTGGGAGGCCGAGGCGGGCGGATCACCAAGTCAGGAGATCGAGACCATTCTGGCTAACACGGTGAAACCCCGTCTCTGCTAAAAATACAAAAAATTAGCTGGGCGTGGTGGTGCGCGCCTGTAGTCGCAGCTACTCCGGAGGCTGAGGCAGGAGAATGGCGTGAACCCAGGAGGCGGAGCTTGCAGTGAGCCGAGATCGCGCCACTGCACTCCAGCCTGGGCGACACAGCGAGACTCCATCTCAAAAAACAAAAAAAACGAATTGATTGTTGTCACATTTTCAATCACCTATTTACATGAAGCATTTTAGAAACAGTCTCTTTGAAAGAACAGATCCATTACCTGTGGTACCTCTGAATGAACTTCGCTGGACCAGTCCCTTTACAGATAATGGTGTGCCTGGCAACTAGCTAGTTTAGAGTAACCTTTGATATTCATTTGCGTGACAAAAACTGTCCTCTGCTCCTAAACCTTTACCTTTACCTGGCTTTTCGCCTGGTCCAGCTGGAACATCTGTTTGGAATTTGTAGGTATGGACATCACGTTTTTAGATATGATGGACTAGCTGTTGCTTTATCCCCACCTTTGCAAACACTTCTACATGTTTTATTTGGAATGCTTCTGAACACTTCTGGTTTTATAAAGGTCTCTGTTTTATAGGATTGCTGACCCAGACCAGCCCGTGCTGTGGTTAGATCAAATGCCAGCACGAAGTCTTAGCAGAGGTTTTAACAACCACATTAATTTAATCAGGTACGAACCTTTTGTGCATCTTTCTTCTTTTCCTAGGAGTTTATTCTCAAGACACAGGCCATGGAGACCAGGAGTGACCCATTGCTCCTTTCCTGGTGACTTTTTGACCAGGGAACATACTGATTGACTCTGCACCTGTGGAGTCCTGCCTGCATTCCTTTCCTCTAGCCCAGCTGCAGAAAGAAACATAGCGCATGCCATACTCCTTCCCCAGGCCCTTCTGTCTGGTGTAGAGCACAACCGAAGGGTAGATTGCAGATGTTTTCCTAGGGCGTCAGTCTTTAAGGAGTCTTAAAATATAGAAAATTATTAGATGGAGAACATTACAGTAACCATAATATTCTTTTGATAGTACATGGCTCAAATAAATTATTTGACAAGTCTCTCGTGGTGGAGTCTCTCACGGTGGGCGGCTCCCCATTCCACCCCAACACACAAAGGGCTTAGATAAATAACACTATCTGGTAACTAAGCTGCCATCTGGGGAGGGCAAGTCAGGTTGGCTGGAAAACTTCTGTTTTGTCCAGAGGCTCTGCTAGTTGGGGACATGGGTGAAATGCTCACTTCTTCACTCTTTCTTTATGTGCCTAGCTGCCTTCTAAATAAATGGTGAACAAATATTAAAGGATATCAGTTTCTTGGGGACCTATATTATCAGCCCATCTTTTAGTGAATTTAATTTTAGATAAAATGTATAGATATGGTAGTTGTGTCACCTCTAAAATGCTTCTAGTTCCAGGAAGCTGAATTAAGAAAATATTTTTCTATACACCTTTAAGTTTGGGTTTTAATGGAAATATAATTTGTATGTATATTTATTTTTTTAATTTCTAGAAAACAAATTTCTTTTCACCTTGTGACTTGTATATTCCTATTTCTCATGGAATAATTTGTGGCATAGATAGGTAGACTCAAGCAACTAACTTTAATCGAAGGCTACCGTAGATCAGCCAGTGTGCTGTGCTGTGCTGTGTGTTGGGGATACAGAAGGGAGATACAGCCCCACCTGCTGAAAGCTCACAGCAGACAGACCAGCAGACAACTACTATGCAGTGTGTTAAGAGTGAGCTGATCACATGCACAGGATGCCATGGGAACCTGGAGAAGGGGTGCCTGATAAAGCCTTCTGGTGCTACAGGGCTATTTGGAAAAATGGAAAACAGAGAGAGGTGGGGTGATTAACTTGGACCCATGGATGAGTTAGGTATGGTCAGGAAACTGTGACTAACTCATTACGCCTGGTGGTGAGTTTGCAATTAAGGGAGTATCAGGAATTAAGGCTAGAAAGATAGGCAGAAGTCAGAACATAAATCATTTTATAGTCCAAGCTAAGGAATTTTTTCCCCTGAAGACAATGGTGAGCCATTCAGGGATTATAAGCAGAGAAGTAACAGGAACAGATTTGCACATTGGGAGAAGATGGCAAAATAGATTGGAGAGGAGGCAGGAACCTCGGAGGTAAGGGAGGAGGTTGGAAAATTGTGTAGTTGTTCAGGTGGACAAGTGCAAAGGCCTCAAAAGCTGTGTGGTAGTGAGTTGGAGAGGAAGAGCTAGACTCTTAGAAGATAGAATCAGGAGCACTGGCAGTGGGCTGCAGTGGGAAGGGCATGGAGCTAGAGGAAGGCCACCTTCCCTCAGGTACGTGGTTGTCCCATTAGGCCAGAGAGCACCAGAACGAAAAGTAGGTGGACATGTTTAGTGGGGAGGCTGGGAGAAGTGTGGGTTGCAGGAGGGAATTCTTACTTGACAGTAACCTTTGAGGTTTGAGATGCCTGGTGGGAACCCAGGGAGCGATGTCCTGGGAGCAGTCGGCTGTGTCATGTGACTCAGCATGTTGGCTGAACATGGAGTTCTGGGAGTGAGTTTAAAAGGAAAAGATCAGAAGGGATAGAAATGTGAGGAAAAGAGTATTCCGAGTGGGTAGAGGAAAGGAGACTGCTAGTGAGCTAGAGAGCAAGACAGGGTATTGGATAATGCTGTTGGGAGAACTGAGGGAGGGGAGACGGCACACTGCCCACAAGTGATGGGATCCGTCAGAGGACGCTGATATGAAAGTCTGGACCTCACTTTAGTGCTGGGGGATTTGTCTTCCCATTGTGGCTGATCTGGCACTGAGTTTGATGCCAGAATAGGCCCTGTGAGCTGGCAGGCAGTCTTGCTAAGACGGTGCTTTGCTTCACCACTCATTGACTATGAACAAGCGAATTTCCCAGACTTTTTTTTTCTACATTATTCTCATAGTTTCTTATTTTTTTAAATTAACTTTGAAATTAGATGTTGGCTTGAGCATATTCTTCTATAAAAATATTCTTAATTTTATTATTTTTGCCTTATAGGGGTCAGGTGATCAACATGAGATACCTAGAATATTTTGAGAAAATACTTCATTTTATTAAAGACAGAATTCTTGTTTATCATGGGTAAGCCTTTAATTTTCTCCTTCTTAGTAATGAGTTGATTTCATGTGTTTTATATTTGTTATATTTTTGAAACTTGAGAACTAAGCCTGTTGACGGGCTAAACAAGGTCTATCAAATTTTTACACAGTGTTTAGAATCGTAAAGGCTTTCATAATCACTTTCTTTTTAATACAAAATCCACAGACCTCAACTGAAGTGTTTTTAACTTTATGTGCACTATTGTGACTTTTCTAGTCTCTTTCTTCTATAAAGCAGGATGTTTCTTTGGATTTATCTTTTAGGGATTTCAGCTTTAATACTTACTCTCCTTCACTTGAAAGGCAGGATGGGATAGACAAAACAATGAGCAGAACACTAGGAGAAAAAAAATCTGAATGCTTAAATATCACCAAGTAAATATAAAATCGGTGGAAAAACCTAGCAGAATACTTTCATTTGAGCAGCTTTAGAAAGGAAAAAAACAACACAAAACATCCACATATAATTTTAGAGCTGGAATAGGAAAATCAGAGTTTAAGAACCAAACTCATAACCATACATGTTCACACAAACACTGGCTTTTGATCCATTCTGCTTTTTCCTGTTTTGCCTTCTAGATGTTTCCTTAATTCTCATCTGCTGCTGTTTCCTTAATTTTCATCTGCAGTCCAAAACTCATTAGAATTGAACTATCCCGTTATTTGGAAGGTTTATTTGTGGCCTACCATTTTGAATGTTTAGCTACTCAAAATTGAGGTCAATTTATTTAAATTAAAGATAATTGCATGATTAATTATTACAATTCTGCATTAATCTCAGTTGCCATCTCTCTCTGTCTCTCTTTAAGAGCTAATAATCCTAAAGGATTGCTGGAAGTTCGGGAAGCCCTGGAAAAGGTACACAAAGTAGAAGACCTTCTTCCGATTATGAAGGTAACTTTAGCATCAGAATGGCAGTCCATGTTTTTAGAGGAAAAGAAAACCAACAGCACTTTTTTAAAAAGAACTCAGAATTATTAAATGCTATTTGAAATCACTCGTATGAACACATTCTGAATAATAACCAAAATAAAAGAACCTACAGGCATCAGACTCAAACAGAAAAAACAACTTGTGAGGAAGCAGTTAATATAGAAAAAAGAAAACTTAAAAATACATATAATTGAATTCTGCTTCTGGCCACAGCTGAGTAACTGGTACTCAGCTGCCCTTCTACATGATTGCAGTTATAAAACTGGACAAAAGTTAGTTATTTTCAGGCACTGGCTAATTACAATAATGTGAATCCCACTGTCACCCCAGCTTTCTACTGTGGTATTTATTAGACCACTGCACGGTAATGTGGAGCCCAAGCAGAGTACAGTGGTCTTGCTAAGCTAAGGAGGTAGAGAGTGGAGTTTGGTTCTGCCAAAGTGGCTGGAATTTGCAGAGCAGAGTATAGGAGAGAAGGAGGCCATGTAGGCTGGGGAGTGCTCAGGGGTTAATGTGAGCACTCCTTTTCATCCTTGACTAAGACCTTGGTCATGAACATGCAATAAAAGACCATGAGAGGCTCAGCAGAGAGTGGCTACTGTGGGAACGAAAGCTGAGCAGAGGTATCAGAGGTGTATGTGCTGAGAGACATTGGAGTTTCGGCCTTGCCAATGTGGATGGATCCTGTGAACACCTTGGGCGTTTAGTTAAGACCCCAGAAAGGACACAGTTTAAAAGTAAGACCATACTTTACAGTAAGGCCCACAACCTAGGACTAAGAACAATTTCTAAATAGACTGCCCTAACAAAGAATAAAACTAAGTCTAAAGGATTAAGTGGATCTGCTAGTGATTTGACTACCTGTCAAAACTCATTACCCTTTAAAGAAAGGCAAAATAACCTATACTCTTTAATTACTAGAGAAGTAAATGCCATCGTTTGAATGTGTTCCCCTCAAAATGAATGTGTTGGAAATGGAATCCTCAGTGCACATATGTTGGGAGGTGGAGCCTAACAGGAAGTGTTTAATGGCAGAGCCCTCATGAATGGATTCATGCCGTTATAAAAAGGGCTTTGGGGAGTGGCCTCTCTTGCCCTTCCAGCTTCCGTCATGTGAGGCAGCAGTCAGAAGGCTCACATCAGACGCTGGCACCTTGATCTCAGACTTCCCAGCCTCCAAAATAAATTTCTGTTCTTTTTTTTTTTTTGAGACAGGGTCTTGCTCTCTTGCCTACACTGGGTGATGAGTGAGACCCCATCTCCTAAAAACAAACAAACAAACAAACAAAAAGCTAGATACAAAAGTATGATAGTATGATCCAGGTATACCAGGCAAATGCTAATGAGAAGAAAAGTATGTGTGGCAATATCAATAATGGAAACATTTGAATTCAATGGGAAGGACACTAAAAGGGACAGAAATTATTTGATTAAAGTATAATCCATTAAGAATTATAACTGTGTGAACCTTTCCTCCATCTAGGAGTAAAACTGCCCCAAAACATGCCAACAGCAGTTAGAATTGCTTTTCCAATTAGTGGTTTAAACACTAATGTGCAACTTCAGTAAATGTTTTCCTTGCAGCTATAGTAGATGAGATTGATTCATGTAAAATTTAGGAAATTTGTATGAATAAGCAAAGTGTATCTATTTCTAAGGAATAGCAAGGAAGTAGCATGTCATGAACAGAGCTGAGCATCTGACCCAGGCCCCACATCTGCCTGGGTGGGTGTGGATGAGCCTATTTTACAGTTATTCCAGGTTTTTGGTCTGCTGAAGACCAAATATTGTGGCCAGACCTACCTCGTGGAGTTTATTGTGAGGGTCTGATGCACTAACACAGTGCCCCTCAACCTTCTCAAACCCACTGCGTTGACTCAGTAAACATGTTCAGATGCCCCCTTTACTGACTCCTTTATTGCACTAAGATGAACTTCACAGAGAATATGTCTCACCTCCTAAAAAATGTCCACGCAAAGTCATCTCAGTATCTCAGTCCACACAGTGTCCACACAGTGTATCTCAGTATGCAGAAATTGGGGCAGGCCTTCTCTAGAAGCCGGAAAGCAGTAGCCAGTGCTTCACACCTGCATGTAAAATCATGGTGAATGTGACAGTTATAAGTGTAGCCCCATATCTGTGTGTTATTTGGTGAGCTACATTGTCATTGGCGATGTGGTTTTCTGAAATGGTAAACCAAGCTTAGTAAAGCTCCAAGCTATATATAGTAGACTCCTTACTCAATGTGTATGCTATTTGCATTCCTGGCAAATTCAGTATGTATGAAAACTATATAATAAATAGTTAGCGTTTAAGTGCAAAACAGAGTCTGGTTCCAGGCCCACATATTGATTAAATGATAAACATGTTCTTCATCTACATGAAAATCCAGTGGGACATTAGAAAATCATACATTATGTGTGACAATCCCCTGTACTGTGGGACATATAGTAATCTTGGCTCCCAACTGTCCAATCCCTGTAATAATCAGTCTCCCATAAATTTCCCCAGCGCCCCCCAGGGGGCAGAATGGCTTCACCACAGGCCCTGAGATGTACCATATAGAAAGGAAACTGGTGTGTGAGGGCTCTTCAGCTGCCTTCC
The DNA here is from genome assembly GCF_000001405.40 of Homo sapiens. NCBI lineage: Eukaryota > Metazoa > Chordata > Mammalia > Primates > Hominidae > Homo > Homo sapiens. The sequence goes on along the minus strand of NC_000001.11, from coordinate 230,917,866 downwards.
TGTGGGTATTCTAGTTAGGCATTTAGATGTCCTGTGGTATTAGGCAGAATACAACGTCAGTTTAGGGAGATTTTAATATTTTATATGTCTTTGTCTAAGAAGAAAAACAGAGTGGGCTACAAGACTGTAGTCACTTAGCATGCAGCCTGAGACGCGGCATCGCCAGCCTCAGTGTGCCTCTCGGTGTGAAATCACCAACTGTTGTCTGAAAGATGTAAGATGTTTGTTCTCTGCGGTGGGATGACATTCCATTTCAGCATTATACATCTAGCCTTTACCCAGGATTACGGATATATTGGTACTTTGCAAGGCACACACAGCAGAATATACAACAAGATATTTGAGTGTTTAAAGTGCTTAGTGGAATGTACCAGGTCAACTTCCACTGAAAGGCACAATGGTACTGTTGATGAAAAACCAAGTTAACGTGTATGTCAGCGCCCCCTAGAGGCGGTTTATTAGCAAGTAACGCGGACTGGAATTCACCAAGACCTTGGGCCCACATTCCCACTCTGCGGCTTCCCTGCTGGCTGGGACTCAGCCAGACTTTGCCTCACCTAGTTCGTTTCTCATCTGTAAGATTGAGACCATACCTAGTGCTATCAGTATGTTGTGAGGATTAGATGAGAATTGGCACATAGTGTGTTAACGCATTTCTTCTCCTGAAAGTCGTTTTTTTTGGCGTGAAAGATGCTTGCCTGCTCAGTGCCTGCTGTGGGCCTTATGACCTGTGCCACTCATCCTCTGGCTTCTGGGCTGCTGGTGACACCTGGTGCATCTTTCTGTTTCTAGACAAGCTCTCCCCTCATGAAGCAGCAGCCTCTTGTACTTTACTGTTGCTTCTCTTAACTTCCAGTCCATCAATTAAAAAAAAAAATTGGCAATATTAAGTTAACTAAATTTGGGGGTCATTTTCTGAAACCTATTTATTGCCATTGCAGGTTTGTCCCAAATGTTTTAAACAGAAAGCTAACGTCTGAAACTGTGTTCATACATTTATCACTCCGAAAGCCATTCTTAACTCCGAGTAATTCTTTTAACTTAACCGACTTATCTGTGGCTCACAGAGTTGGGTGGGTGTGGGTGTGGGTGTGAATGAAGTTCTCCAGTTAGTGGATATAATCCTGGGTACTCTTCAGAAAAATCAGTCTCTGCTTTGAGCACTAGTATGAGCATAAGTTGCATTTTTGAGTTACGGGATGTTAGGTACAACTATTCTGCCATGATTCAAGGTTGCTGCCTACTAAGATGGACATGAGAAAACATTCAAAGGGAGCTCTTAGAAGTGAGCAGTGCCCCTTGTTGACGAAGAGAACCTGTGAGCTTTTGGTGCTGAGGTTCTCTGCTGGCCTCTGGTAGGAGCTGTGGGGAGCGTAACCTGGGCTCTGTTGGGGCCTGAAGACAGGCAGAGATGTCCTTGGCCACCAGGCCACCATCTCTTGTATCAGATGACCTCCTTGGCCCTTTTTAAAAACATGTAAGGTAGAGCCAGCACTACAGAGTTGCAGTTGGGGTTTACAGTGAATGAAACACTAGTAACGTGAATTTTCTTTTTCCCTGAAAGCAGTTTAATACTAAAACGAAGGATGGGTTCACCGTGAACACAAAAGTTCCCAGCCTTAAAGACCAAGGGAAGGAATATGATGGATTCACAATCACGATTACAGGAGACAAGTATGTGCGCTTCTTAATGTGGGTGTAAACTAGAGACGAGGCAGGAAGGGTGCCTGTGCTTATTGTCACTATAGAGTTTTGTGGTGTTGAACTTTTGCTCCATCCTGAAATGAAAAGTATCAAGGTCCAGTGAGCAGTTATAACCAGTTATTTAAAAAAATGTGACATCTAAAGTATTACACCAGCAGATACATTTTCTGACTGTCTAAATCTAAGGACTTTCTAGATACTATGTATGATGTAGTTTGTGGGAGACATTCTTCTGGGTTCTTGAAGTTCCTTGGGGGGGCGAGGGAGGCTTTTACTAATAAAATGAAAAAAGATGAGCAGTTGGCGGATTGAAGTCCATTGTAGATTTAAATATATATGTATAAAAGCCAATCTATATATATATAGAGAGAGAGAGAGAGAGAGAAAACAGCTTTAATAATTAATGAGTAGTATAATCTTATTGTAGAAAATTTAGAATATACAGATAAGCAAAATTAACAAAATAAAAATCAAGTTATTTTCTTTAAAAACTGAGGTTAGACTGTTCTACTATTTACCCTTACCATTACATTATCACAATCATTTCCCCAGTCATATTCTTAAAAGTATTTTTAGTAACTGCATAATATTCCATTGTATAGATGTAGAATTTCTCTGACTGATCTTTTTGTTATTGACCACTTAGGGTATTTCTCATTGTTTTGCTTTATAAATAGCACTGCAGTAAACATTTTTATTAACTCTAGTTTTATTTACATCTGAAATCCAAGCTTTGTCTGTCAGCCTCCATATTCCTTGAATTGTGGGTGGAATTGCCTTGAGCTGTGCACACACACACACACACATACACACACACCCCATATTCAGGTGCATAGCCTTGGGAAGTGCCATGCCCTCCCCCTGGTTTCCACCTGCTCAGCAGTGAGACTATGACTCACATTCTCCAGCCCCTCTGCCTCTTGGGCTCTGGCTTTCTCACATACTTTTCCTCTAAACTACAAGGAGCCACCTCTTCAAGTTCCATGTCAAAACTTAAACAGGCCTTCATGAGTAAACACCAGTTCAGCAACTTCCAGATTTCAGGGCTTTTCTATATCTTTGAAGTCTTGATCTCTACCTCAAGCTTCTTATCAAAGTACGTTCCCAATAAAGATCATTCTCCCCTGATTGCAGGTTGTGCTATTTAACATAAAAAGTGTTCTCCTACCTTTTCACACATCCACGATGTGTATCCTCAGATCAGATTCCTAAGCAGAAATGAAATTACTATATAAGTACAGTTGATCTTTGAATAACTCAGGGGTTAGGTGGATTGACCTTCCCACCCCAGCAGGCAAAAATTTGCATATAACCTTTGACTACCCCAAAACTTAATAGCCTACTGTTGACCAGAAGCCTTACCAAAAACATAAACAGCTGATTAACATATATTTTATATGTTATATATATTATATTTTGTATTCTTACAGTAAAGTAGGCTAGGGAAAAGAAAATGTTATTAAGAAAGTCGGCCGGGCGCAGTGGCTCACGCCTGTAATCCTAGCACTTTGGGAGCCCAAGGCGGGCGGATCACTAGGTCAGGAGTTCGAGACCAGCCTGACCAATATGGTGAAATCCCATCTCTACTAAAAATACAAAAATTAGCCAGGCCTGGTGGCGCGCACCTGTAATTCCAGCTACTCTGGAGGCTGAGGCAGGAGAATCGCTTGAACCCATGACGGGGAGGTTGCAGTGAGCCGAGATCATGCCACTGCACTCCAGCCTGGTGACAGAGTGAACTCCATCTCAAAAAGAGAAAAAAAAAGAAAATAATAAGGAAAATATACTTAACTATGTATTAAGTGGAAGTGGATCCTCATAAAGGTCTTTATCCTTACTATCTTCACGTTGAGTAGGCTGAGGAGGAGGATACGGAGGGGTTGGTCTTGCTGTCTCAGGGGTGGCAGAGGTGGAAGAAAATCCTCGTATAAGTGGATCCATGCAGTTCGAACCCATGTTGTTCAAGGGTCAACTGTACATGAAATTTCTCCCCTTGAAACGTGACATCTTTCCTCAATTTCCTGCTTCACCTCACTTGTTGCCTCCCTTGCTCTGGGCCTCCTGACCCCTCGAGTCGACTCTGCCTGGCATCCCATCTTCTGTCTCCTGCTTCACCAGCACTTCACCAATGTTGCTAGAGCTCCACCTCACTGGACGTTCCCCTAGCTCCACAAATCTCTCCCCTCTCCATACCCAGCCATTGCCTGTGGCTACCCAAACCAGCTTCCCTGCCAGGCATTCACAGCCTCTCACAAAGTGGCCTCAGACATTTCCTGCTTGACCTGGACCATCTCCCTGTTGGAACCTGGCCTGCTAGTCCGACTGGAATGCTTGTTCCCCAGTTCACCCCTGCTTTCCAATGTCTGGGTCTCTCACTCCCATCCCGACCCATGTTCAGGCCACTTCTCCCATGAGACCTTTCCTGCTTTTCTCTATGTTGTCCAAATTAGATTCCTTTTTTGAACCTCTGATGAGCTACATTATGACCTGAGTCATGGTTTCATAATAATTTGTGGCCCTTGGCCAGAAGTGGTGGCTCATACCAGCATATTGGGAGGCCAAGATGGGAAGATTGAGGCCAGGAGTTTGAGACCAGGCTGGGCAACATGGTGAGACCCTGCCTCTGCAACAGATTTTTAAAAATAACTACAGGTGCATACCAGTAGTCCCAGCTACTCAAGAGGCTGAGGCGGGAAGATCACTTGAGCCCAAAAGTTTGAGGCTGCAGTGAGCTATGATCATGCCAATGCTCTCCAGCCTGGGTGGTAGAGCAAGATCCCATTTCTTATAATAATAATTTGTGGCCCCGTTTCTTCCTTCCTTCCTCAATCAAGGCAGCAGCTGAGCTTTTCTTTGTAGGCTCCGAGGACTAAATGCAACACTTTGCTAGTGGCGTTATACAAAAAATGCCTGTTGTATCAAACTTATATCCTCCACAGAACCTCAGTGGAGCTTCAGCTCCACTTTTTTTTTGTTTTGATAAAAAACAGAACCATGGTGTAGTCCCTGAACTTTCTTCCTACACACAGTTCTTGCTTCTGACCTTTAATCCTAATGGGGTGGCTTAGAAAATATTTACTGGTTATTTAAATGCATTCTTTACTATGTGTCATTGTTTTCCCATATATTAGCTTAAGTTTGTGTAATAAGTACATGTAGTTAGACTTAACTGTGAGCAAATGAGTTACTGGTCACTTAAAGGTGAGGCAACTATCACATTTTATGAAGAAAGAATGCATTCTCATGAAACCTACCTTGCTTGTCTATAGTTAGAAAGGTAAGGTACATTCTTGTATATGTTTAGTGCTACGTCAGTATGCTATTTGCTTTTTAAAAAAAACTTTCTGTGTTTGGCTGTTTGAACTTATAATACATGCCTTTCACACTTATTTTTGTATTTTCAGAGTTGGCAATATATTATTTTCTGTGGAAACTCAAACCACGGAAGAAAGGACACAATTATATCATGCTGAAATAGATGCACTTTATAAAGATTTGACAGCAAAAGGAAAAGTATTGATTCTTTCATCAGAATTTGGGGTAGGTTTCTCTTTGTTTCCATTTTTCTGCTCTTCCTATGATTCTTTTGTAAATTTTTTGAACCTCTGCCCTTTCACTGAGATTGTACATCTTATGCTTGAAATTGGGTTGAATTGACCTAAAAATATTTCTTATTTCTTATAGGCAAAAATTCTTGTATTTAGTAACTACAGTAATGGGGAGGATAATAAATTAATAATTTAGTACTGCACTATGACATTATCATAAGTTTGGGCTTTGACAAGATATAAAAAAGCTGGTCCATAATGAAAATGACCTGGGCTTCACCTTTTTCTTCCATTTTCTTCCCTTCGTTGCGGTTGTTGCTTATAACCGTATATTTACAAGGAGCTTTTGAATGTAAACTGGATGATGCATTCTGATGAGTTAATGGCAAGGAAAGTATAATGAAGTTGTGTATACTTTGCACTTGGCGGCCCTTTCCTGGTCTGTGGCCTTCTTCTTTGGTTGTCTGCTTGGACTCGAGGTGGAGTCGTTACAGGCAGCAGGGTATGGTGGACATTCTCTCCCCACCACGCCCCTTCTCTGTGTTCTGCAGTGGACGGGTGCCCCTTACCCTTGAAAAGTCACCTTATTTCTCCAACATTTAATCACTGCATCCATATAATTAAACATCTAAGTTTATACACATAATTGAGCATCATCCAAATCTCAATGCGGAGTAGGGGAAGGGGCTTACCCAGATCTTTTGGGGTAAGGTACATGTTGTTTGAGAGAACATATTTGGTGTTAATAAATGCCTTTTAAAATTTTAGTCACAATATATATTTTGACATTTCAAATAACGTTAAAGGAGACTGAGATTTTTATGTTTATCCAAGAGTTGCAGTTTAAGAAACAGCTGGGAAAACATTGCTCTAAATTGAACTAAATTGGAAAAAAATGATACAAAAGGGTATAGAATATTCAAGAATTTGAAAAGTAGATTCTTATGGGGGAGGAAGAAAACAATCCTCTTCTTGATGTAGATTATTCTTGTGTGTTCTGTCACCTAATGAAAAATTAGTTTGTAATCTTTATAGTATTTATGAGTCTGTATCTTTTTTTTCTAGGAGGCTGATGCTGTCTGCAACTTAATCTTATCCTTAGTTTATTACTTTTATAATTTAATGCCACTCTCTCGAGGATCCAGGTAAGTAATATCCTGTCATTAAAATTATTTTAAATTGAGAAATGTGTTCTTTTTTGCTTATCCTTCCTGTTATGGATATAGGTACAGAGTACACAAAGAAATGGTAAGGAGCTCCCTATTTTTTTCCAAAATCTGCACAAAAAAATATTTCCTTAGTCTATCACATCAGCAAAAGAATTATAGAAGACAGTTCTAATATAGTGTGCTTACGTTTAATAGGATAGGGATTCATCCATTCAACACAAGTTCATGGAAAGTTTACTGTGTATCATGTGCCGTGCTCAGTGTGTTTTAATTTTTTGTATCTGCCAGCCTCTTACTGAACCTCTTCCTCCTCCTCTTCCTTTTCCATTTTGGGCTGTCAGGTGACCCATAATCCTCATGTTTTATACTTTTGGGCCAACAGTCACTCTGTACTATTTTTATTATTTTGGATAAATTCTTGCTACTTGTATATCAGGAGTTTTTTAGGTATCATTAAAACAAGAGCTATGACTGTAGAGTTTTCATTTCATTCTCCTTTTCCCAGCACTGTGTGCAGTAAATTATGTAAATGGCCTTTTGCCATTACTGGCACATAGTTGAACTTAAGATGTTTTGGCTAAAAATAATACACTTGAATGTCTTTATCTTTGATTAATGGCTTAGAAAGTAAAACTCCCCTAAGTGTGGTAGTAAATTTGGTTATAGAATTTAAGACTCATTGAAACAAAATAGAAACATAAATGTTGTCTTATCAGCATAATATTGCTAGTTGTGTCCACTGAATAAGGGATGTGAGGCCTGTGCACATCACCGCTTGTGGGCCCCACTGTACTCAACAGCCAGCATCCGTCCTTTGTCCTCACAGCAGCTCTGCTGGCTCACGTGTGACATTGAAGGACGTGCAGCTCTGATTGTCCTCAACTCTGCCTCATCCCTACATCTCTTCAATCCTAAATAGTCTGTTGATTCTGCCTCCCACACTTCTGTTTCTCTCTTCCCTGTACCCGCCACAGCTAGCTTTGCTCCTGCTCCTCTCTGTGCCCTGCGGCTCTCCAGCACCTTCTGAAAACCATGGGTTTAAGCCGAGCTTGGCAGCATACACAGTGCGCAGTGCTAGCCCTGCCCTGCCCTGGTTTGCCTTGGCTGCAGCACCGCTCTCTTCCGTGGCTCTTTTGCTTCCCCTTGGCTTTCCACGTGGGCTCTCTGCCACATCTCCCTGCCTTCTCTGCCCCTTTCATCTTCAGCCCTGGGACCCTGGAGGTTGCAGAGCACATGTCTTTAGCCTCTGAAGTCTTCCCTGCTGGAGAACCCCATGAATCACCTTGACTCACTTTTCTTGGTGTCCACCCATGGCACTTGTTAGCTTTCTCAGGTGCTCGTGCCATCCTTTCCACCTGCTAGGATGCATTATCTCATGGGTGAGAGCTGTCTTTATTTTGAGCCGATTTGTTTTGGGAAAAGCACAACACTGTGGTTACAATAGTGGGTCCCATGGCCTTTTGCCAGCCCCTTCCACCCAAAACCAGTCAGCTCCCTCTCTTCCCTCACCAAGAGCAGAAGCACAACGTCTTACAAATGCCTCCTACCCCAGACCTGCACACTCGCAGCTCTACACTCGTTCTGGAGTGACAGGGCAGCAGACCTTGCCCCACGAGCCTCCGAGCCAGCAGGCAAAGGTACCCCACAATCCCCTGGCCTCTAACAGCCACCTTGGAGCCCTGGCAGTTCACACACATGCCCAAATCTCCAAACCATCTGTCCGTTAGTACATTGTGAGAATGTATTCTGCATTTCTTCTTTGAAGGCCAGCATTTCTAATGCTTAAAAAGTAAGACTAACATATGTATTTGTATTTATGAACTTTATTGTATACATGCATTGCTGGAGTGCGGTGGAGCGATCTCGGCTCACTGCAACCTCTGCCTCCCGGGTTCAAGCAATTTTTCTGCCTCAGTCTCCCAAGTAGCTGGGACTACAGGCACATGCCACCACTCCTGGATAATTTTTTGTATTTTTGTTACAGATGGGGTTTTGCCATGTTGGTCAGGCTGGTCTCGAACTCCTGACCTCAAGTGATCCACCCACCTCGGCCTCCCAAAGTGCTGGGATTACAGGTGTGAGCCACCATGCCTGGCCTAATTTTTGTGTTTTTAGTAGAGACAGGGTTTCGCCATGTTGCTGTCAAACTCCTGACCTCAAGCGATCCGCCCACCTTGGCCTCCCAAAGTGCTGGGATTACAGGTGTGAGCCACCTCACCTGGCCAGTAAATATATTCTAATAGTAAATTAGTAACTATTCTTAAACAAATAGGCATATTTTCATGTTAAATGAAACATTCGGTGTTTTATTTGAAAGAATTTTTGAATAAATTTTATCTTTCATGATGGGAAGTCCATGGTGAAATTTAACATGGTAACTGTAGACCGTCCAGGATGGATTGACCTTTGTTCTTTATTTAAATAGTGTAATTGCTTACTCGGTCATCGTGGGAGCACTGATGGCAAGTGGAAAAGAAGTAGCAGGAAAAATTCCCAAAGGGAAGGTATGTTGGAGCGGGAAGGGAGAAATGCTTGGTTATGTATTAAGTCCCAATTTATGGATTTTTATTTTAAGGTACACGAGTTACATAGATCTCCAGCCGAGCCTGTGTCCTCCATGTTTAGTAACATTCCTAAATGTCTTTCTTTTTCAGTTAGTCGACTTTGAAGCTATGACAGCCCCTGGTTCAGAGGCCTTTAGCAAAGTCGCCAAAAGCTGGATGAACTTGAAAAGGTAACTACTTGAGGGGGGTCCACACAAGGGTATCATAACTGGAGGAGGAAAAGGAGTTTCCTGTTACTTTGGAGCGCTATGAAAACTGGAACTGTTATACTCATTTTTATAAGTTAATATGTAATACAATGAATTTAATTCACTTTTTCAAGGTTAAAATGTTTTGCTGTTGTATAAGATAACCTTTTAAGGGTGAATGTATGGATAAAAATGGACTATGAAGGCCAGGCACAGTAGCTCATACCTGTAATCCCAGCACTTTGGGAGGCTGAGGTGGAAGGATCATTTGAGGCCAGGAGTTCGAGACCAGCCTGGGCAACATAGTGAAACTGCTCCCCTCTACAAAAAAATTTAAAATTAGCTGGGCATGGTGGTGTGTGCCTGTAGTCCCAAGTACTTGGGAGGCTGAAGCGAGAGGATCTCTTGAGCCTAGGAGTTTGAGGCTGCAGTGAGCTATGGTTGCACCACTGCACTCCAGCTTGGGTGACAGAGTGAGACCCTGACTCTTAAAGAACCATGAATAAAAAATTTAAAAAGTAGTTGGTGAAAGAAAATTACCAAAGTCTTATTTATATGATCAGGTATTCACTTCTCTTGGCCTGTTTACTCTTAGGCTCAGTATTCAGGAGTGTTTGAACTTGTAGACAGAGCCCATTTTACATTACTCTGAGTGGTAGCACTTAGCCTACTTGGTTGCATTTTATTGCAGCCAGGAATTATCCCTGACGGACACTGTGTGTGAGGAGTCTAGCAGACCATGATCGTTCCTGGCTCTTGTTTCCAGAAGCACTGGAGAGGACTGTGTGAATTTGAAGTGTGTGAAATTAAACTCATAGATGCCTCAGTAGTTAATGAAGAATAAGTAAGCCTCACTGTTCAACTTTAGTTATTTTTGCCCCTTCTCCTGGTTTTTTACATCCCAACCACCCCCAGTTTTGCCTTTCACGTCTATTTGACATAGCAACCACTCTATTGCTGGGTAATTTATGTTCTGTTTAAAACAGAAATATTTGTGCCTGTAGTCTACCATTGCTCAATTTGTAATTTAGCTTTGCAATGAAAGCTTCTAACAGTTACACCTTGTCCTGGTACATTGTTGTTTCAGGCTTATTAGTTTGCACATGTTTTAGTAATACAACCACCAGGCCGAAGGTCTTGCTTCTATTCTTACATAATTGTACAGTGTGAATCTTTTGACAATTCTTTAAGGAAAGAATAACAATGCTACCTTACATCCTGCAGTTAACGCTTTACAGCGTACCTTGAAATACCTTATCTCATTCAGAGCTCATGGTAACTTTGCGAGTTAAGAACACTGTCCCTGTGACAGATCAGGGAAGTGCAGCCTAGAGAAGTAAAGAAAGCTAATAAGGAGTGAAGCTGGACCTGAAACCTGTGTCTTTTGATTCCAAGCCCAGCATGCACCACAGCTGGACATGTAAATCAGAGTTTAATTTTCTTTTTCAAAGCTCTGGCTTAACTTCCAAGCGACTTGTAACGTGTTGGCTGATGCCGCAGGCCGTTGTTGTGAGAGGAGCCATTCTGTTCACAGCTCCTCCCTGCCTTTCTAACACTGTTTGATATTACAACATGAATATAATAAATATAATGATAGGAATAAATATAAGCTCTGCCCTTTTTTTGCAAATTTTGTTAATTTTCATGCCGCTACTTTGTGTTTTTCTTTTTCAGTATTTCACCTTCTTATAAGACTCTTCCATCAGTATCAGAAACGTTTCCAACGTTAAGATCGATGATTGAGGTGCTAAACACAGACTCTTCTCCACGTTGTCTTAAGAAACTCTAGTTCTGCTGCTGTATTTATACAAGTAAAGGGCCGGACCTCTTGCTTCTTAAGTTATTTTTTAAAACATGGAATTATAAAGAAATTAGGTCCTCTATTACTTTTGATACCAATTTTTATAGGAATTGAATACTTGAAATCATTTTCTTTACTTTTCTGAACCATAATGAAAATCATGAAAGAGGCTTTCGGGGGGAAAAAGCTACTTGACTTGGAGGGAAAGCGTATGTATTAGCCGGCAGCCTGTTGGTTCCCACTTATAAAGTCATATAACTCCTTCCTTACAGTAAAAAAAATTTTCCTCAACAACTAAAATATAATACTGAAGATGAACAAAAACAAAACCAAATAGGAGTGTTTGTATTCCTTTAGAGATCTGGATATTTTTCAAAGACTTGCTTTTTACGCACATTGTGATAGAGCATCTTTTGTTGACTCACGTAACCTCCATGTGTGGGTCCTTTGTTTTATTAGAACCATGGAAGAAGGTTCCTGGGCCATCAGTATGTGTTGCAGAGCTCACAGCCAGGAACACTTATTTTGAACAATGCAGACAGTACTTGCCAGAGTCCCAAATGCTGAATTATTGAACCATGTTTTTTTTTCCTTTGTTGAAAAAAATAAACCAGGGTGATTTCTATAAATCACCAGTTTTTGGCATTGGATTATGTATGTGTTTATTTTGTGAACCAGTTTCACTTTCAGGTATAAGAACATTCAGAAAGTCTCTCTTGTTTTTTTTCCCAGACAGGGTAAATGACAGTGAGTAAAATGAGTTAATTAAAACTGTTGCTGTTTCCAAATGGCACCATCCATTAGCAAGCTTGCTCTTCTCTCCCTTCTACAGGATGCACACCCATCTCTTTGCTTGGCCACTTCTCCCTGTCCATTGTAATTTCTCTTGGACCACTTCCGGAGTCTCCTGACTCATATTCCTGCTGCTGCTCGGTTTAAACCCCACAGCCTCCTTTTGTCCTAAAATGAAACGCAGTCTCCTGCTGTAGCCTAGCTGACGTGGCTGTGTTTCTCTGATTGAATCTCTTACTCCCCACACTGTCCTTTGTTTGCACCATCAACTCCCCTAGCCTTTTCCTTTCTTGAGAACCTTACAGTTAGCTTGACACTGTCCGATAGAAATTCTGTGATGACATTCCAGAATGTTCTGTGTGCTGCCAGTATGGTAGTCAGTAACCTCATGTGGCTACTGAGCACTTGAAACAGGACTAGTATGCCTGAGGAGCTGAGTTTCACATTTAGTTTTAATTAACTTAAATTCAAATAGCTGCATGTAGCTAGTGGTTATTATATTGGCCCATGCAGCCTACAGAGTTCCTAGTGAGACTTTAAAGGTTTTTCCACAGAAATAATCCAGAATGGTGGTCTCCCAGTGTAAGTTAATATCATTTTGAATTTGTGGTTATAGACTTGCCTGAGTAGCTAAGCTCTTACTATGATCTGTTTTTATTCGCAAGAGTTCCCATACCAGATATATGGAGTTTTCCCCGCATAGCAACCAATTATGCAGCTTTCCATATATCAGCTGGAGTGGGGAGGGATCCTGCAATTCACATCTGACACTAACTTCCTGGAGTTAACACAGACCCCAGAGGTTAAGGGCTCAGTCTCACAAGACTGCCCCCTTTTCAGATGCCAGTTGCAAGTCAGGGCCTCCTGTACTTCTGACTGATTGGCTATAACTCGGGGGTTCCCATCACACCCTCCCTCCTCATGTTTGATAATTTGCAAGAATGGCTCACACAATTCAGGGACACCCTTTACTTACTATTACTGATTTGTTATATCGGATACACATGAACAGCCAAATGGAAGAGGTGCACAGGGCAAGGTATGGGGGGGCAGCATGGAGCTTCCGTGCGCTCTCCAGGCCCACCACCGTCCCCCCACCTGGAAGTGTTCACCAACCAAAAACCCCCAAACCTTTTCACTTAGGGTTTTTATGGGGGTTCCATTGCATAGGCATGGTTGATTAAATCATTGCCAATTAGGTCAATTCTCAGCCCCTCTTTTCTCTCTGGAGGCTGGGGGTTAGGACTGAAAGTTCCTCTAATCACATGGTTAGTTTCTCTGGCCCCCAACCCCCATCCTCCAAGAGTCATCTCATCAGCATAAATTCAGATATGGTTGGAAGGTGCTTATTAATAACAAAAAACACTTCTCATCCCGATCACTCAGAAAATACCAAGAGTTTTACGAGCTCTGTGCCAGGAACTGGAGGGCAGAGATCAGATATAGCTTTCTTATTACCTCGGTATCACAGTTCTATCGATAAAATTGCTCCTGTGGATCAAGATGTTCAGACTTTTAAAAAACTAACTTTAAAGGCCGGGCGCGGTGGCTCACGCCTGTAATCCCAGCACTTTGGGAGGCCGAGGCGGGCGGATCACGAGGTAAGGAGATCGAGACCATCCCGGCTAAAACGGTGAAACCCCGTCTGTACTAAAAATACAAAAAAATTAGCCGGGCGTAGTGGCGGGTGCCTGTAGTCCCAGCTACTTGGGAGGCTGAGGCAGGAGAATGGCGTGAACCCGGGAGGCGGAGCTTGCAGTGAGCCGAGATCCCGCCACTGCACTCCAGCCTGGGCGACAGAGCGAGACTCCGCCTCAAAAAAAAAAAAAAAAAAAACTAACTTTAAAAAATCTAGAGCAAAATTTGCTAGTACATTAAGAACTTTAGTGTGGAATTTCTTTGGTATAGAAACTGTATGAGGGACAGGAAACTGACCTCCAACTCTGTGATCATTACTCTCTGATAATTTGGAAATATGGAATAAAATTGATATGCCTCAGAAAGAGAGACCAGCAAAATCACCTAAAGAAACCCACTGTGTCCCAGACCAGCAAAATCTGAGTGTTCATGAATACATCTTAAGATGTCTGTAATGGAGCCCATCATTCCTTCACCCAAAGTCTGTTTCTCCCCACGCTTCTCTGTGTCAGAAATGGTTCCCTTTTCACTCAGCAGCTTCAGCCAGACACCCAGGCAGCCTCCAGAGTCTACACTGCCCTCCTGCAGTTTTCAAATGATCACCATCCAGTCCGATCCTGTTTACCTCTAAGAAGATCCCAGATCCATTCATGTCTTACCATCTCCATTGTTACCCCCAAGCCCAAGCTACTTAAAGCTAAACTAATCAATATTAAACTAAATCGAACGCTTGTTTCTGTCTCCCTAGCTGCCTTTCAAGTGCTCAGTAGCCACATGTGGCTAGCAGCTATCACATTGGACAGAGCAGACATGGGACAGCCCCATCATCACAGAACATCCCACTGAGCAGCACTGCTATCCTGAAAGCAAACACACTGCTATCCCCCCAACCCAACACACTGCGCATCCCGGTGGTCTTAAGCAAGGGTCCAGGAGGTTTTAGGGTCAAAACCACAGTGTTTGGTGGCAGCATGGGGGCACAAATTAGAGAAAGAAAGAAAAAACACTTCTAGACTGGCTTGAAACGTTTCCTTCTGTTTTCTGATCCAAGGTGTCTGTGGTTAGGCCCGGGATCTCCATCTTCACCTAAACCTCACGTGCTTCACACAGAAGTGGTCTGGGAACCACACCTGAGAAACATCAAACTAGAATATCATGAAAACAAGTATGTTCTTGAATATTAGAGCTGTGATTAGATTTACAGTAGCCCTTTTTGCTTCAAACTATGTTCCCATAAATATAGAATCCCTTTAGTTTTATATGTTGTAAACATAAATTTTACCAGTTAAACTAGTCTACAGAAAGTTGGATATACAAAATGAGATCACACTACACTGTGCTTAATTTTTAAAATTTACTTTTTTCAATTAACACATAATGAATTATATGTCAATAAATATATTTGTAACATTTTAAGTTGGATATACACATATATATGTAATTAAGTCTTGAACACAGGCAGCTTAGTTGAACACAACTTGGTTCACAAGCTCCAATAAAGAGTTTAACTTGTGCCCATTCAAGGTGACACAGACGTGCAGTTTTGAATTGCCTTGTTTAAGTTCCCAGCCTCCTTGCCTTCGCCCTTCGGGGGACAGTCTGATTTCCTGAGCCAGGCGTCTTGGCCACCCTCGGGCCTTTGCCCAGATCCTCCGCACTGAGGTTTAGCTCATGCTCCCTGTGCTAGGGCAGCAAGCCTCAGTGGGTACAGCGTCTACTGTTGATTGACCTCTGCCCGCTCGGGTCCGCTGGCCAACAGCGCATGCGCTGCCTCTTCGGCCTCCTCCGGCTGGTCCGCAGACTTCTCTACCTCCAGAGCCCTGGGCTACCGGTACTGAGCGTGCAGAACTCCTGCCATTGTGGAGGCTCCCTGCGGGCCCCCTGCTCTATTCTATGCCACACTGGGCTTGGGCTTGGGCTTCCCTATAAGGCTTGCTGCCACCTCTCGAGGGATGAGGGGTTGCAACCGGATGCTTCTGTCTCCAGGGTTTGGGGCCCTTCGGGAGCTAATGTGTTTTAAGCACTTACTACGGCTGGCATTTTTCTTTCCTTTTTTTTTTTTTTTTTTTTTTTTTAATCCCGAGACAGAGTCTCTCTTTATTGCCCAGACTGGAGTGCGATGGCGCAATCTCGGCTCACTGCAACCTCCGCCTCCCGGGTTCAAGCGATTCTCCTGCCTCAGCCTCCCTAGTTTCTGGGACTTCAGGCGCACGCCACCACGCCCAGCTAATTTTTGTATTTTTAGTAGAGAGGGGGGGGTTTCACCATGTTGGCCAGGATGGTCTCGATCTCCTGACCTCGTGATCCGCCCACCTCGGCCTCCCAAAGTGCTGGGATTACAGGCGTGAGCCACGGCGCCTGGCCAATTTTTTCTAAGTGTTGTACATTGTTTCACTCATTTAATCCTTTGAAGAGGCCTGTGAGATAAGTGCTAGTATTATCCCCACTTAGGTGACAAACGGGCTCAGGTGGGAGAAGTGACTTGCCTGTCATAGCTCTTGAATGTTGCCTAGTGTGTTTGCCATGCGTAGTAAGTCCTCAGTGGAGAGTGGTGGTGGGGCCAGCGGGGATTTGACTGCCGCATTCTTAGCCTTAAACAAATAAGCCCTTCTGTCAAGGAGCTTGATTGCTTTTGGCTGTCTACCAGGTAGAAATGCCACCATATTACTCAAGGGGCTTCCAGCAGTCATCCATCGGGGGCCAGGCGGATTGGCTTGTTGTGTAACACAACTCTAGAGATCATGTCAAAATGATCAGATTTGTCAAGGCTTATGTATAAGCCCAACAAAAACTGGAAATTGTCACTTACTAGGATCAGAATTTAAAATAATACATCTCTGTCCAAAAATAGATTCTGAATCAATGAATCTTTCCATTAGTAGGCTTCTAATGCAAAGTACTAGAACAATTTTTACATGCAAATTAACTCCTTGAATTACCAGTTTGGTATAGAAGTAACTTCTAAAGTGAATGTAGCACTTTCTGTTTCAGGTAAGTACATAAATGTTAACCATCCAGTTTCACAGCTGGATAAAAAAAAAAATACAACATGTAAGAAAAACATGAGTGGGAGAACCAACTAACTCTGATACATGTATACTTGTTTTATACACATGCCTTTTAATGCTCATAGCACTTGAGAGCTAAGGAGTTCTCAGATCATCTAGTCAAGCTCCTGTAATTTGCTGTTGAGGAAGCTGGGACAAAAAGAGGTGAGTAGCTGCCCAGAGGTCACTCAGGTAGTGCCACGGAGCTGGCGGTCAACCTAGGTAAACACCATCATTGAGCGGAATGCACAAAAAAACTTCAGACAGCTCCCCTGCCGGGCCTTCGCTTGTTCAGCCTAAATAGCTCCTTCTGTGGCTCCTCCCACCGCCTCTTCATACTCCTTAAAATGAAATAAATGTTCATAACTAAACATAATAGTCCACATGTGGTCTGTCCCATAAAATATTTTAATTGAAGTACAACATACATACAAAAAATGCACATGTGTGTGCACATTGGTGAATCTTCACAAACCTAACATAACCAGCTTTGAGATCAAGAAACAGAACATTACCAGCACCCCAGAATGTATGTGAACACATGTTTATACATATAAATAAATATACATCACAGATTTCATATAAACACAGCAGACTACAGTAGCTCTCGAAGGCAGCTTCATCACACTATTGACCCAAGTCAACTAAAAATCTCTAACTTCCGTCTTCCCTAGCAGCTGTGTCTGTTTAATAAAGCTTTACCATTTAATCTTTTTGCCTCCACCAAGTGTCATTTAATTAATATTGGTCCATTCTTATAGCTGTTTTCTTTTGTATTATAAAATCTGATTTTCATCCATTATATTATCACCCCATTTATTTTGTGTCAGCCTATAAGTGATTTCTGTTAAGATTAATCCAATAAGAAAAATCACCTTATCTCAGGCTTACTCCAGCCTTTACACCTCCAATTTTTTTCCAGAAACACTCCTATCATTATAACAATTAATATTATATTTCTGTTTGTGATTTTAAAAATTATCATCTATGAACACTTGTATTTTAAGAGCCTTAGAAGTAAAATCTTGACTTTGTAATCCTTTTATTACAAGAACATTTTCATTAAAATAATCTTCATTCTTCTGTTCCTATGCAACTTGACCCTTCTTCTTTCCCTTTCTGTATCTGTTAGGTTTCTTCTTGCTCTCCCTTCAGGGCAGCGTTAACCAATACTCTGATTTTGGTAATGTGTGTGGGTAGGAGCACAGCTCTGGCCCTCTGAGTGAGATGCTAGCTTGACCACTGAGCAGCCTGGTTTTGTGCTCCACATCCTTGGGAGACCAATAATACTGAAATTACATGCTGGCACATTCCTTCCAAAAATTACTTGAGCAATCGAAATGCCTTAGATAAGAGGGGAAAAAACTATTTTGTCAAATTCTTCCCTTCGGATAGTATAAATGCACTGGATTCTTACATAGTGACGTGCCTTTTTCCAGTAGTCTAGATTGTTTTTTTCTTTGCTTTGTTTCAATTCAGGAGGTTCGCATGAATTAGCATGGCCTATGTGACAGTTGCACGTGGTAACTTAAGATATGCAGGTCTAGCCACAACAGGTAAAGCATGATGCCAGTTCTTTACACTGGTAACCAGATGGACATCGAATGCTAGAATTGCAAATAATTTTTATATTTAAAATTGCAATTATATTTTTAAAATAAAATTTAGCTTTAAAGGTTTGAGTTTTAATTTAATATTTGTAAATTATAATCCACACACTGCCTTTAATTTTAATAGATCATATTGAACACTTTAAAAGTAAAAATTTTTTTAAAAATCAAGTTTAAAAATGTTTACATTTATTTAAATTTTTAAAAAATATATTCAGATTTGGTATATTTTTACTACAATTACATCTTTTTAAAAATTCTTTTTAATCCATAACTCATGATAGAGCACAAATTCAGTAAAAATCTTGAATATAACCACATTAGTGATTTTGCTGAAATGAAGGCAAGAATGATACATTTTAAGGAATTAATGTGATTTTTGAATCATGCATATCTTTATTACTCTGGCTGATGTCAGAGCCTATTGAGAACACCAAATGTGTAATAATGATTAAATGCACTGGTCTTAGGCATTTTGCAAACTTTTGAATATGTTAAACCTGTAGCTTTACACATGTTCCATATCCATTTTTTTTTTCTCATGAAGATACATTTATTAAGGTAGGAAGACAGGATATGTTTTATTTGACAATGGATTTATAACTTCCAAGTCTTTAGATACGTGATAGGTGGGTCCGTTTATATTCTGGCCCTGGACCCTCAAAATGTTTCAGCTGTGCTGGAAGCGGGCTCTATCTCTCCTTTCTGCTCCTCTCTCCATCTGCAAACCTGTTCTCCCAACGTGGTGGGTGCAGGGCTACTACCAGTGTTCAGCTTTGCATCGGCGACCCAAAGACAGCCCATCCTTCGCAGCTGTAGTCCCAGAATCCCAGGGAAAGGACTCGTGATTGGGCCAGGTTAGGTCAGGTGACCACTTGGACCAATCCAGAGTGCCATAGGGTAGACGCATACGATACCCTTGGTTAAATCATAAAAGGGATGGTGATTTCTAGACTAACCATCCCTTCACTGTATATTATACTTTGACAGAATGTAATTCCTTTATTTGAACAGACCTCTCTTTTAGTGGTTTCAAGTCATGCATTCACTTAATGTTTCTTTTCTTATTGTACATAATTTCCAGAGCTAAAACTTTCCAAACCTAGGTTACAAGGAAGACAGTCCTATACCCCAATTTGCCTGATTTATGCCTGCTGTCCCATTGTAATTATTAATAGTGCCACTTTCCATTCAAAAGTATCCTGGTTTGGATAATCATTCTTATGATGCCCCTGACTGTAAGTGAAAGTTGGTGAGTGTGAAAGTTCACTTATATCCCTGTTTGGTCTACATGGCGCCTTCCTCCCAGTCCCAGCCATCATTTGGACCCAGCAACTACTAGAGGCCAAGCTGTGTCCTAGATGTTGGAGATATAGTTGAGTAAGACAGTAACCCTTTCCAGAAGGAACTCACAGTCCTAACAGGGGAAATTGTACAAATTAGGTCATGATACAGCCTAAGAAATCTGGGTAGGAACAGAAGAGCAGGGAGTGGCTCTGCCTGGGGAGACTGGGAAAGACCGCAGAGAGGATGCAACATTGGACCGGGTGACGTGAACTTCCCAATTGCTGACTTTGGCATATTAGAATATACCTCTTATTTTTATTAGCTACATAATCCAAGGCTAAGATGTTTGTTATTCATAAAGCCCACAGATGATTACTGACTTGGGAGAATCCCATCAGAGATGCCTTTATGACAATGAAATCAGGCCACTTCATCCCCAGGGTGAGTCTTGGAGTAGGCGTCTCAGGTGTGCATGCAGGTATCAGAAGAAAAGAGGGGGAAGTGCTTGTGCTATATGTGAACACCAGAACATCCTCAAGTCCCTGGCAGAGGGAACTGCAGGATTCCAGAGTCAGGACTCCCTGATGCTCTAGAAGGAGCTGGAGTAATGACCAGCTGTAGAGTATTCAGTCAGGACACGTGGGCTCCAAAACCAACACTGCTGCCTACCCCCAAGCAAAGGATTTAATCTCTCTGGCCTTACTTTACCTGGAAAAGGAAAGCGTGAAACTAAGTCATCTACAGTGTTTTATCCAGCTTTACAGTTTTGATATGTTGTATAGTGGGCCAATTACAAATTCTTAAGTTTTCTCTAACTGATTAGCCAATTTGAGAAGATTCAGAAAAACCACAGTTCATTTAAAATAGTTTTTCCTTTTTCATGCTTTTGATATAACCACAGAGGCTTTTATACTGATAAAGACTTGTCAAAGGATCTCTGCATTTTGAATCCAGTGTGGGAGATGTAGGGATAATTAGAGAAACCAGCCAAGGAACGCTGGCCAGTACAGGTGCAGTGGCTCATCCCTGTAATCCCAGCAATTTGGGAGGCCGAGGTGGGAAGATTGTTTGGGCCCAGGAGTTCAAGAGCAGCCTGGGCAGTACAGCAAGACCCTGTTGCTACAAAAAATTAAAAAATTAGCCAGGCATGGTGGTGCACGCCTGTAGTCCTGGCTACTTGGGAGGCTGAGGTGGGAGGATCACTTGAGCTCAGGAGTTCGAGGTTGCCATGAGTTGTGGTCATGCCACTGCACTCCAACCTGTGCGACAGAGCAAGATCATGTCTCAAAGCCAACAAACAAACACATAAAAACTGGCCAGTGGAATAATACAGTTTCTGGCTCTTGCTTTCCCCATACCAGACTGTCTTGGTCACGAGAGCTGAAATAATTTCATAATGTAAACTTTGCTGTTTTTTCCTGCCTCTTTAGAGTAAAAAAGCAAAACTCAGAAGCACTCTCAGGAAAGCTTTTCAAATTCTTTTTTGTTCTCTGGCTCCCAGTGACAAATACTTACTCTGTCTTTAATGTCAAAAGTTGGAGGCAAAGCTTTGCACTATTTGATCCTTCCAGAAGCACAGCTGGGAGAGCAGCTGTCCCTGCAGAGCTGCTTCCTCTTGCTTGTTGGTAGAGCTACAATCAGCTTTGTCTAGGGTTTCTTTCTGCTGGATCTCTCACTCCTCTCTCTCTCCACTTTCTCCTGCCCCAACCCAACATAAACAGCTCTTATGTGTTTATTGGCCACTTGTATTTCTTTTCTTTTTTATTATTTATTTATTTATTATTATTATTATTTTGAGATGGAGTTTTGCTCTGTCACCAGGCTGGAGTGCAGTGGCACAATCTCGGCTCACTGCAACCTCTGCCTCTGGAGTAGCTGGGACTACAGGTGCGCGCCACCATGTCCAGCTAATTTTTTGTATTTTTAGTAGAGATGGGGTTTCACCATGTTGGCCAGGATGGTCTCGATCTCTTGCCCTGGTGATCCACCTGCCTTGGCCTCCCAAAGTGCTGGGATTATAGGCATGAGCACCGCGCCTGGCCTTTTTCTATTTTTTGGAAACAGGGTCTGCAGCCCAGGCTGGAGTGCCATGGCATGATCATAGCTCACTGCAACCTTGAACTCCTGGGCTCAAACGATCCTCCTGCCTCAGCCTCCTGAATAGCTGGGACTACAGGTATATGCCACCACATCTAGTTATTTTTTAAAAACTTTTTGTAGAGATGGGGTCTTGCTCTTTTGCCCAGGTTGATGTCCAACTATGGCCACAAGCAATCGTCCTGCCTCAGCATCCTGAGTAGCTGGAATTACAGGTGTGCACTACCACACGCAGTGATATGGTTTGGATGTGTGTCTCCTCCAAATCTCACGTTGAAATGTGATCTCCAGTAAGTTGGAGATGGGGTCCAGTGGGAGGTGTTTGGGTCACGGAGGTGGGTCCCTCATGCGTGGCTTGGTGCCCTTCCTGTAGTAATGAGTGACTTCTCGCTCTCTTTGTTCACATGAGAGCTGGTTGGTTGTTTAAAGGAGCCTCACATCTCTCTCCTCCTCCCTTCTCTCTTGCTCCCTCTCTCATCATGCGACGTGCTTGCTCCCTCTTTGCTTTCTGCCATGACTGGAAGCTTCCTGAGGCCTCATTGGAAGCAGATGCCAGCACTGTGTGTCTTGTACAGCCTGCAGAACCATGAGCCAGAGAAGCTCTTTTCTTTATAAATTACTCAGCCTCAGGTATTCCTTTATAGAAATGCAAAATGTATTAATATACACCCAGCTAATTTAAAAAAAATTTTTTTAGAGATGAAGTCTCACTATGATGCCCGTGCTGGTCTTAGAACTGCTGGGCTCAAGCAATCCTCCAACCTCAGCTTCCGGAGTTGCTGGGATTACAGGTGCAAGCCACCAGCTTGTATTTCTTTGTTGAACTGTCTTCATGATCTTCAGCTGTTGCTTTCAATGTAGTAAGAAAGATTTGAAACACATTATTTTGTGGTTCATAAATGTGAAACACACTTACAGTTTTTCATGCTCATGTGTGAGATATCCATCCTTTAAACCTTGTTACAATGTTGGCACATTACCTGTCCGATATGAGAAGGAAAAAGAGAAATATTTGAAACACACAAATAATATAAATAATGATACACAAAAACTACGTGAAGGAAGCAAGCTTCACCAATGCAGTTGGAGTCCTCCGTGCACTCTCCCCCGATTCCCTGCCATCCCCGAAAGATAACTGTGGTCCTAAGTTTTGAGATCATATGGCCCATGCATCTCTTTATAATTTCACTATAGATGTACGTTTCTCTACCATTTCCTTGTGCTTATGGATGTATCTGTAGCAATTTGCATCATTAGAAAACATCCTCTAGAGCTACGCTTAGGATGAAATAGCTTAACCGCTATAGCTCACTACTTATGCTAAAGACCACAGACTCTTCAGCTCCCCCATGTAATGGAAATTAACACGGGGCCAAGCAGATTTCCCAGACATGGCTTTATTTTGGGGCTTGTACTCAAGTAGAAAGGAGACAGTGGAGGTACAAGGATTCTCCAGGTAGCTCACTGGGAAGAGCCAGTAGGGCTTTTTTAAATCAGTCAAAGCACGGGACTTGGCTTCGGGGGAAGGGTGTGCAGGCTGGGCTGGGCGAGGCACCTAAGGGGAAGGGTGTGCAGGTCAGTGCAAGGGGAAGGGCGTGCAGGTCAGTGCACCCTACCTGGTTGTGATGGCAGGGGCTACCTGGTGGTCTGGCCAGCAGCAACAAGGCTGTACATCAGTTTTTCAGCATTCCTTTCTAGGGTGGGACATTCTGAAACCTTGGTTCAATATTTGGATCTCCTAAGGCCAGTTTCTGGAATTCTTTAAGTAAAAGGCCTATTTAAACATTATGATAGCACAGAAGAACACTACAGACTGGCTACTTTCCTTGTATGACTGAAGCCTCAGTGTTGGCAGGCATAGTGTCAGTGAGGTGGTGGTGTGAGTTTTGTGATCAATGGGACAAGAGAAGAAGAAAAAAGAGAAAGTATGTGAAGGAGGAGCCACATCCCACTTTTATTCTATCCCACTTATTCTAGTTTTATTTTATTTTTTTAATTTTCACTATGTTGTTCAGGCTGGGGGACAGTGTTTATGGAGGTTGTTCACAGGCACAATCCCACTATTGATCAGCACAGGAGTTTTGACCTGCTCTGCTTCCGACCTGGGCCAGTGCACCCCTCCTTAGCCTGGGTGACCCCTGCTCCCAGGAATTCACCACATTGATACTGAACTTAGTACAGACACCGGATCCGCATAGCACATTCCAGCCCAGCATGCCTGGGCTCAAGCGATCTTCCCGCATCAGCCTCCTGAGTAGCTGGGCCTACAGGCACACCCAGCCTTCTACTTTTTTCAATCATAAGTGTAGATTGTTCATTTTTTGTTTAGGAAAAAATATATTGGTGACTGGCAAAAAGACGATTCTCAGACCATCACATAGGAGACAAGGGTCATGATGTCTATGTAACAGAGATGAGAAACAGCTTCTGCTATGAAAACCTTTCTCTACACTCTTTTTTCAGTGTTACAAGAGTCTTTCCAATACAAGAAAAAGAAAAAGGAACGAGATGGTACACAGAGCACCGACTATATAAGCCTGTCTGTTTCCAGCTCATTCATTCATCCCATCCATCCAACTAAAAAATGTTTATGGAGAACCCACCATAAGTGCCTGGTGCTGAGCTAAATGCTAGGGAACAAGAATAAGAAAGACACAGTCTCTGCCCACTCATAGCCAGATTAGGAAATAGACAAGTAAATAATAATAATGACAACAATAATGATAGCTCCTGGTTGTTGAACACTTACTACTAGCCAGGCAGTGTGCTAAGCACTTATTTATGTTATCTCATTTAATCTTCATGTGATATGCATGGAATGGGAAATAAAACAATACCTGTGGGCAAATGGATGAAGAGAAAACATAAGAAAATTACCTGAGATCAAATGGTGAAGCTGGGATTTGAACCTAGGCAGTCCGACTCCAGAGCCTGGGTCTTTACCAGCTTCACCTATTGCAGAAGAAATGAATAATTGTGATCAAGTGAGATAAGAGCTAGGACACAGGGGCAAGAGGGACCACGGGACACTGACATCCTGCAATCCTTCTTTGAAAGTGCAATCTTAGCTCCCTGTAGCCTCGAACTCCTGGGCTCAAGCAATCCTCCTGCCTCAGCCTCCCGAGTAGGCAGGACTACAGGCATGCACCACCATGCCTGGCTAAATTTAAAATCTTTTTTTTAATACAGATGGGGCTTGTCATGTTGTCCAGGATGGTTTTGAACTCCTAGTCTCAAGCTATCCTCCCACCTCTGCCTCCCAGAGTGCTTGGATTATAGGTATAAGCCACCATGCCTGGCTTAGTATACTTTTGTTAGTTTTGTGTTAGAGCATTATAAATAAGCTAGTTATAAAACCTGGGTGAAAAGGCATCCACCAACTTGGTAACTCAGGGCCACAGAGAGATCACTGATGTCAAATAGGGTGGTTCTTTGCCAGGTGTCACTTGGCAGATCCCTGATGGGCTGAAGAGCAACAGAGGAATTTCTCTTTTCAAAGTGACGTGAGGGGCCGGGTGTGGTGGCTCACACCTCTAATCCCACGCACTTTGGGAGGCCAAGGCGAGTGGATCACTTGAGGTCAGGAGTTGGAGACCTGCCTGGGCAACACGGCAACACCCCGTCTTCCACTAAAGATACAAAAACTAGCCAGGCATGGTGGCACGCGCCTGTAATCCTAGCTACTTGGGAGGCTGAGGGACAAGAATCGCTGGAACCCAGGAGGCAGAGGTTGCAGTGAGCCGAGATCGTGCTACTGCATTCCAGCCTGGGTGACAGAGGGAGACTTCATCTCAAACAAAACAAAACAAAACAAAAAGTGACGTGAGGAAAGCAGCCAGATTTGTATGGTCCAGCCAGACCTTAGGACTATTGCCTCGGTGTAGTGTCAAAGTGCCCAGCTTCTCAACAAACAGCTGGTTAAAAATCATGAGAAGCAAAAGACGGCAAATTAACAAAAGAGCAAATCATGGAAGGTTTGAGTGTGAGGACACGTGAACAATGGGGAAATAACATCTGTTGTCCATACTGTGGGGTGTGGCTACGAACCCCTCAGAAGAAGAGTGAGGAGAAACTTTCTGCAGAAACCCCCTTCCACTTTCTTCATGCTTCAGTCCTTTTCTGGACAGACCTCTTACCAGGAAGTAAGGATTTAACATTCAGTTGCTAACATGTTTAGATGATGGCAGCAGACCCCTAAGTCTACCGCCTCCTTGCAAATGGGCTTGGATTACCGCAATTTACAGGAACTGTTCTCTGTTTCAAATTAGTCAGAAAAATTACCCTAGCCTCAGCCTCTCAAAAGGAAAATTGCACTTGTACTCAGGTCCTGTGCCTATGCGCATCAACTGTGATGGACAGCACACATCCAGCCCTGTAAATCCAAGTTAAGTCTCTGTTGATACCTTGCAAATGGACATACTTGCTTCTTTCCCTTTGGGAGCAATCAACATTAAACAGTGGACTCTCTTCCAAGCAAGAACTATATCCAGAAGGCGCCTCTGTACCAAAATTCAAGACGTTTAAAATGTAGAGGTGATTTTTCTGGAAGAAAGCTTTACAATAGGTATAAAACTCCTTAAAAATGTTTACTCCTTTATTATTAGGTAGAACTCTTTGGGTGGCAAGAAACCTATTTAAGCTAACTTAGGCAAAAGGAGTGAATTTCCTGCAAGGGCACAGCCTGGCCTCAGGCAAGGACAGGAAGTGGATGTCTGTAGAGAAGCCAGGAACTTTGAGTCTATCCCTCAAAATCTCGTTTCAAAAGAATAGGATTCTCTCTCTTTTTCTCTTTCAATCCCTGCTGCGCAGAGATTGTCTGGCCTGTCTCTGAGTCACAGTTTCAGGTTCCTAAGCAAAGTCCCTTAATTGGCCCTGGCCTGTTCCAAGGGAATCAGGGTTGCATGGTACAAAACCAGCCCTGCTCACACACTGAGGAGAGGGAAGTGGAGTTCCAAGAAAGGTGGGTTTTCCTAAGGGTCTTCCTTCTGGTGTCTGTAAAAGCCCCCAAAAATAGGTTTGATTAAATAAATTATGTATCCTTTTATTTGGAATACTACATGACTTTAATTAGAATATTGAACAAAGTTAGAAAAATATTCATAATATTATTGATTGAAAGGGGAAAGTTACAGTGTAATATTTATTTTTATTATATAAGGATAACTTTCTCATATAAAAAGAATTGTATTATTATTTTTTGTATATATACAGGTATGTGGAGAAAAGACCAGAAGTGTATCTAATAGGATGTTTGCAAAATTATATTTTGTTTGTGTCTTCTCTATTTTGCACTTTTTTTTTTTTTTTTTGAGCTGGAGTCTCCCTCTGTCGCCAGGCTGGAGTGCAGTGGCACAATCTCAGCTCATTGCAACCTCCGCCTCCTGGGTTCAAGTGATTCTCCTGGCTCAGCTGCCCGAGTAGCTGGGACTACAGGTACGCGCCACCACACCGAGCTAATTTTTGTATTTTTAGTAGAGATGGGGTTTCACCATGTTGGGCAGGCTGGTCTTGATCTCCTGACCTAGTGATCCACCCACCTTGGCCTCCCAAAGTGCTGGGATTACAGGCGTGAGCCACCATGCCCAGCCTGTTTTCCACATTTTTAATGACATTTATTATTTTGATAATCAGAACAAAGTTAATTTTTAAATTAACTGACAAAATTATCTGAGATGTAAAGGAAGAAAACTCATAATTTATGTTCTGCATTTGATATTTTATAATTTTTGTTTTCTAATCTTAAGAGACAGGATCTTGCTCTGTCACCCAGGCTGGCGCGCAGTGGCATGATAACCGCTCACTTCAGCCTCCAACTCCTGGCCTCAAGTGATCCTCTTGCCTCAGCCTCCCAAAGTGCTGGGATTACAGGTGTGAGCCACCACACCTGGCAAATACTTTATAATTTCTGAAGCCAACATATAAACAAATACAATAAAGGTTACCTAAATAAGTGCTTCTTTTTAGAAATAGCTTGGAGAAAATCATTCAATACCTCTTATTTATAGTTTTGTAATGTTCTTTTTAAATGCTTCTTACAATATCTTGAAAGTTAAGATCTTTCAAGGAAAGATTTTGAAAAGTGTCCTGGCCTGAAGTCTTCATGTTTTAGAAATCAAGTTTTTAAAACATCTTAAAAAGCTGTGTCTTTAGTACTGGGTGCAAAATTTAAACATTGCCTGCAATTCCGGAATAACAATAATCCTAACGATAGATATGATTGAAAAAGTTGGCCAGGTTCAAAAGAGAAACTTCTTCGGGGGAAAATGGCCATCCCATCGTTCTACATCAACCGCCGGTTTTTCTTTAGGGTGAAGTGAGAGGCTTGAGGGCAGGGAAGCATCCAAAGGGAATTTCTCAGTTGGTAATTTCCTAGCAGAGAGGTTGAGTTAGGTGCTTCTTCCTCGATATGGTTCGGATCTGTGACCCAGTCCAAATCTCATGTTGAGTTGTAACCCCCAGGGTTGGAGGTGGGTGGGGTCTGGTGAGCGGTGATTGGATCGTGGGGACCGTTTCCCATGGTCTAGCACCACCCTGCCTTGTTACTGACATCCGGTTGTTTGAAGATGCACGGCCCCCACACCCCCTTTCCTCTGCTTGCTACGGGTCTGGCCATGTGAAGTGCCTGCTCCCGCTTCACCTTCCATTACTTTCCTGAGGCCTTCCCAGCCATGCTTCCTGGGCAGCCTGCAGAACTGTGAGCCAATTCAACCTCTTTTCTTTATAAATTACCCAGACTCAGGCGTTTCTTTATAGCCTTTCGAGAATGGACTAATAAATACATCCCCTTACTTAGCCAGCACTTGAAGTTTCAAAAACGAGGATCAAGCCGTTCCTGGGAGCATCCTATGAGACATTTGGACACAGGTTTACTTGGAGTCTCGGAGATATGACGGAATCTGGAAAAGTCAAAGGAAAAAAAGCCAAGGTGAATCAGATAATTATGTTATTAAATCTCAGGAGAGATGACTAGTGTGTCAACACCAGGGCAGAGCTTCTAGAAGCTTCTAGAAGCCTTTCCCACCAGCTACCATCAGTTTCACTCAAACTGTTACCCACTCCCACGTCTACTGGTAGTGGAACCTGCTCTGGCGCTGCCTTCCACTCATTTCTACCTTAACCTCTGATCTGACCCCTCCCCACCCTCTGTCCATGGACCTAGCCTTCCCCTGGCTTCTGCTCTTTTCTGTCTGCTTTCTTGTTGACGTTTTTTTTTTTTTTTTTTGCTTCCCTGCTCTGGATTGCTTGATCTCAGGCTCGATTCGGAAAGAAGTGATACGTAATAAGACAAAGTGATAATGATTTTAAAAGAGCTATATCAAAGTTGCTGTGGGAAAGCCAAAAGGACCCAATTATTTCCACCTGAGGTGGATAGCTGTGCGGCAGTTATGTATGCGGCGGCTATGCCGAGGAGGTGTGGAGAGTATGGGACCGCAGAGGCGGAGTAGAAATGTGCCAGGTAGCCAAGGACCTTCCCAGCAGAGGCAAAGTTGGGAGGAAATGTTCAGAGAGATGAACGTGCCTAGTGTGCTTGGGATGGCTTGCAGATGCAGCTGGAAAGGAAGTGAGGGGCAGAGGGGCGGGTCTTGCCATCATCCTCAGGAATTTGGACTTCATTCTCTGTATGTAGACTGTAAAGCATGGGAATGATTTGACTAGAATTAGAAAGATCATTTGCCATCAACACCAAGGATGGCTTAAAAGAGGGCAGGTTTTGCTCCTGCCCCTGACGTGGTTCCTCTCTGCAGCCTTAGCCCTCTCATGCCTCAGTCCCATCCTTAACTGCGACCACATTCCGTGGTTGTCCTGGGTCTCTCTCTCTCTTTTTTTTTTTTGAGACAGAGTCTCGCTCTTGTTGCCCAGGCTGGAGTGCAGTGGCGTGATCTCGGCTGACTGCAAACTCCACCTCCCGGGTTCAAGTAATTCTCCTGCCTCAGCCTCCCAAGTAGCTGGGATTACAGGCTCCCGCCATCATGCCCCGCTAATTTTTTGTATTTTTAGCAGAGACGGGGTTTTACCATGTTGGCCTGGATGGTCTCAAACTCCTGACCTCAGGTGATCCACCCTCCTCGGCCTCCCAAAGTGCTGGGATTACAGGCGTGAGCCACCGCACCCGGCCAGGTCTCTCTTGTTTTAGTTCTTTCACTGACTGTATCTGTTCTCGTGGTTTCAACCATCATCTCTGCACCATTTCTAGTGCTAGCTTCCCTGCCAACTCTAGTCTTGCATTTCCAGTTGGCTACAAATCCTCTGTACCTGCATGGATCATCAGCCCCTCAAACTCAAATTGTGTGCAGCCAGACTCTTCAAATCCTTCCCCCAGAAATCAGTTCTTCCTCCTGACTCATTTCTGCTCCTTGTTTCACCATTCTCCAAGTTATCCAAGCTTAAAACTGGACAGCGGTGACCTCTTCCTTTTCTTTGACTCTTATCTTTAACCCATGCCCAAGCTCTGTCGAGTATTTCTTTGTGATATCTGACACCTGTATGTTCCCAGACCTACAACCACCATCCTACTTGAGACCTGTTCTTTCTTGTATAGAAGCAACAGCCTCTTACCTGGTCTCCTGTCTCTGGTAGCTCTCCTGGGTCATCCTATTTTGGTACAGTTTCTAAAAAACTGTTCTGATTATATAGTGCCATGTATAAGGTAATATTGAGCATAATGAAAATTACCCTTAAAAATCTCTTAAGGAAGGCTGGGCATGGTGGCTCATGCCTATAATCCCAGCATTTTGGGAGGCCAAGGTGGGCTGATCACTTGAGGTCAGGAGTTCAGGACCAGCCTGGCCAACATGGTGAAACCCCGTCTCTACTAAAAATACAACAACGACAACAAAAAGAAATCAGCTGGATGTGGTGGCACATGCTTGTAATCCCAGCTACTTGGGAGGCTGATGCAGGAGAGTCGCTTGAACCCAGGAGGTGGAGGCTGCAGTGAGCTGAGATCGTGCTATTGCACTCCAGCCTGGGAGACAGAGTGAGACTCTGTCTCAAAAAAAAAGAAAAAAAAAAGAAAGAAAAATCTCTTAAGAAGATGCTATATTAAAATCTAACAAACTATGTCTCCAGAAACCCCACAACAACAGAACGCATTTCGTAGCTGAGCACGGTGTCATGCACCTGTAGTCTGCGCTGCTCAGGAGGCTGAGGTGGGAGGACAGCTTGAGGTCAGGAGTTCCAGGCTGTAGTTCGCTATGTTTCGACCTATGAATAGCCACTGTGCTCCAGCATGGACAACATAGCAAGACCTCATCTCTAAGAAAAAACAAAAAGACACATTTCTTGTCTCTAGCAGGGGAATAGATTGTGCTTTGTTCTGTTAAATACCAGATAATGTAATTGACCTGCATTTGGAAGGCCTTTTTGGATAAAAGGTGTATTTTTAACACTCCCTCCATGCAAGGCAAACAAGAGCTGAAACCCACTAAGAGACTAACAGCAGATTTGTATGTCCTTACCCATGTTCACTTCAGGCGTGAGCTTATGTAAAGTTCTTCTGTCCCTCTCCTTTAAAAAACAATTATCAGGCTGGGCGCGGTGGCTCACACCTGTAATCCCAGCACTTTGGGAGGCTGAGGTGGGTGGATCACCTGAGGTCAGGAGTTCGAGACCAGCCTGGCCAACATGGTGAAACCACATCTCTACTAAAAATACAAAAACTAGCCAGGTGTGGTGTCAGGCACCTGTAATCCCAGCTACTCAGGAGGCTGAGGCAGGAGAATTGCCTGAACCAGGGAGGCAGAGGTTGCAGTGAGCCGAGATTGGCCATTGCACTCCAGCCTGGGTGACAGAGCAAGACTCTGTCTCAAGCAAAAACAAAAACAAAAAATAATCATTATTATTACGTTTGCTTTTGCTGAATGTATGTAATCCAATGGGTGGAATTAAGTGCAGATATGACAGCACTAAACAGTGATTCAGCTGTTTGGGCCGGCGTATCCACACGTCCATACTGAGGCCCTCCCCAGTGCCAGTCAGGGCTGAGTGGGAAGAGAAGGAACCTGGGGCCTGTCCCCCTGAATGCTCAATTCAGTTGAAAGTCCAAGGATTCAGAAGCTTCTCAGTTCAATCCAGGACACCTAGGTCTCTGTGAAGGTGTATTTTTCAAGTCAAGTTAGTAACTTCTAGATATTTTGACACATGGTATAGGACCCTCTGTTTATATTCTTGCTTTGATCCCACACTGAATACATAGCATGTTTTCCTGAATTGGAGGGAGAAGCAGCAGTGGGGGCTTTCCCACACACCTGCACAGTGCAAACAATTTCAAATTGTTGGGAAGGCCTGCGGCCATTCTCACTGTCTCTCTCCAAGTCTCCTGGGCTCCTGCTGTCTCCTTCTCCCAGGCAGTCTCATACTGTCCTACAAGTAAATCCCAAATGCTTCTTGCTTTCTGAAGTAGAGAATTCCGGTGTCTGCCTGGCACCTGTTTTCTAGCATCTGCTACTTAAAGTGTGGATCACAGGCCGCAATAGCAGCAGAATCAGGAAGCCTGGTGGAAATGCAGCCTCTCAACTGCCTGTGAAGCAGCATTTCCTATTCCTTGGAGCCCTAAGGAACATAGCGGGGAAATGCTGGCAGAGAAGCAGTGGATGCTATAGGAAAATGTGAGACAGGGCAGGCAAATAGAGGAGCAAAGCCCGGGCCTTCAACCTTGAAGAAGGATAAGAACATGGAAAAGAAATGCTGAGAAAAGCAAAAACAAATCCAGGACAACAATGAAAGCCTGAAAGAAGAGAGTTTTCCTCAGGGGACCAGAACCACCACAGCCTCCTGTCTCATTCAGCAGAGGCACTGAGGAGGGTGAGAACCAGAGGAAGACCCTACCTAGGCTTGGCAATCAGGAGGCAGAGTGAAATATGGAGGTGTGTTGAGGGGAGGGCCTTGGCTTGAAGGGACAGAGGGTGGGAGGAGAGGACCAGAGTCTGGAGGTGGTGAGAAAAATGGAATGGAGGGGAATCTGTCCACTTTGGAGAGACAGAGGAAAAAGGTAGGAAATGCCCCATGTGCATTTGGATGACAAATGGACAATACTGGTTTCTTTCCAGCCAAGCTGCCCCAGAGAGGCAGAAGGAGAAAACATAGCCAAGCAGCTCCGGGCAGAGGGAGAGAACATAGCCTGGAGGTGGAGGGGTAGCTTTGATCTCTTCCAAGGCACAAGGACCTGACCCTCCTAAAATAGCCCAGTGCTACCTCACACCCCTCTGCATCAGGCTGCAGTGTCCCCTGCTGGCTTCTGTCCTGTTGGACCACATCTCTGATCCTTCAGAGGTGCCCCCAGATAAGCCACAGGAAGTCCCCAGAGTGCCTTCTGTCCTTCTCAGCCTTCCTGGGCTAAGTAAGGACATGCTCACATTTGGAGGAAGATAGGACAAACCCCAGGGCAAGAGGTAGGTGCCATCTGAGGGTCTCTCTGGTGCCATCTCCCTTGCCCAAGGTGCTGAGACCATAAGAATCCTGGGGCAGTAACAACTCTCAGGGCAAGCCTGGTCACTTCCAACCCAGCATTCTTGGAACCCAGCCCCTTTTACTGTTGTTGTCTGATAGGTTTTTCTTGCCTGATGCATAGATAGAGCCAATTTACCAGGACGGCAGTATTGTAACAGAGAAATAGTTGACTAAATGGAGCTGGCTAAGCAGAAGACCGGGGGTTTATTACTCAAATCAGTCTCCCCCCAAAATTCAGAGACTGAGTTTTTTAAAGAATGATTTGGTGGGCAGGGGGTGAGGGAATGGGTGCTGCTAATTGATTAGGGATGAAATCACAAGGGTATGGTCTTCATTGCCTCTCTAGATGGGGGCCACAGGGCCCAGTGGGGTCAGTCAGTTGTCAGAAATGCAAGTTAGAAAAACAACTTAAAAAAAATCTTAGGTTCTACAATAATGATGTTATCTATAGGAGTAACTGGGGACGTTACAAATCTTTTGACTTCCAGAACAGTGGCTGGTTCCATTTAACTATGCCTACATCCCTCTCATGATCCTAACCTTGTGGACTTTCATTAGTTTTATAAAGGCAGTTTAGTTTTGGGAAGGGTTATTATCATCCTTGCTTTAAGGTTAAACTATAAATTAAATTCCTTTCAAAGTTAGCTTGGTCTATACCCAGGAATAAACAAGAAAAGCTTGAAGGTTAGAAGCAAGATAGAGTTAGCTATGTTAGATTTCTCTTACTGTCATCATTTTGCAAAGGCGGATTCATTGCCTCCAGGCACTCAGCTCTGCTCTCCACTCCCTCCCTGTTGCTTGGGCTGGCGGGCTTTCACCCTCCTACTCTCAGCCTCCCTTCCAACTATTTCCCTGGACTGCTCGCTCCTTCTCCCCACACAGCTGGCTTCAAATCTAAATAAAAAAACTTAACCTAAATAAAAAAAATCCTGCAGTGGTTTTTTTTGGAATTACTATCCCATTTGACATATGTAGAAACTGAGGCACAGGAGGTAGTCTGTTGGCGTCACACTCCAGAACACTGGTGCTGGGGTTGGAATGCAGGTGGCTGGGCTCCAGAGCCCCCTCCGTGCCTCTTTGAGGAGACACTTTCCTCCTCAGCCTGAGAACTCCTCCACCACGCACAGGCATAAACCTTCACGGCTGGGGAATCATTTGCCCAGGGAAGGGAGGGTACAGAGGTGCCCAGCAGAACACAGAGGTCAGCTGTCCTTTTCACCACATTTCTAAACTTGGCCACAGCAGCTAAGTGGCCACCCAGGATACTTTGGATTTATATGTGCTTGGCTGTGTCTGTAGGAGAAAAAGAGGTGGTTTCGCTTTTTTTTTTTTTTTTTTTTGAGACGGAGTCTCGCTCTGTCGCCCAGGCTGGAGTGCAGTGGCACAATCTTGGCTCACTGCAAGCTCCGGCTCCTAGGTTCACGCCATTCTCCTGCCTCAGCCTCCCGAGTAGTTGGGACTACAGGCACTCGCCACCACGCCCGGCTAATTTTTTGTATTTTTAGTAGAGATGGGGTTTCACCATGTTAGCCAGGATGGTCTCGATCTCCTGACCTCGTGATCCACCTGCCTCTGCCTCCCAAATTCCTGGGGTTACAGGCGTGAGCCACCGCGCCTGGCCCATTTTTGGTTTTTAAGTTTCACAAGCTTAGTTGTGACCATCATGAGGCAAACACAGGAGAGTCAGAAGATGTTGTGGTGAGATAAAGCCAGTTCTTCACCCCAAAAGGAGTGGAGCCAGGGAAGCAGATGAGGGAGCAATAGAGGCAGCTTCTGACTCAATGTGGACCCTCAAGGTCTCCGCCATTCCACCCTCCCCGCCCACACTTCTTCTCCTGTGAGTACCCTGTCCCGGCAGTCGGAGCGATCCCTGGCCCCATGCTTTGTCTCTTCTCAGGGCTGAGAGACTCTGCCACCTCTTTCACACCATTCTTCCCCTACCATTGTGCTAGGTGAACCTTCTTATCCTTCACCCTTTGTTCTTTTCCTCCTACAAGAAAGTTACGCATTTCCTCTGCGGAGCCCACTGTGCCTTCTGCTTATTTCCAATATAGCCTTTATCTGCCTTGTTATTATGCCACCCAGGGCAGAGAGAACGTCTTTCCATCCTAGGGCGTGGTCCCTGGCTAGGGCTCCACCCCCAGACCCATGGCTACAGACCTAGGTGAAGACAGGGATTTTTGTTCTCCTGCCCAAATGTTGCATTTCCCAAGACCACCCTGGCCTGCCACGTCCCTATCCTGTGCGTATAAAAACCCTGAGACCCTAGCAGGTAAACACACAGGCGGCTGGATGTTAAGAGCACGTTGACAGGTACCGGCAGGCCGGCAGGCCACTGACCAGCAGAACAACTCAGAGTTTAGCTGGGGTGGTCAGAGAAGAGTTGGCCGCTCAGTAGCCTGACTCCAGGGGAAAACCTTCCCACTCCATCCCCTTCTGGCTTCCCCCATCTGCCAAGAGTTATTCTCACTCAAAAAACCTGAACTCATTCCCCAAGTGCAGGTGTGATCTGATTCTTCCGGTACACCAAGGCAAGAACCCCGGGACACAGAAAGCCCTCTGTCCTGGCGATAAGGCAGGGGTCCAATTGAGCTGACTAACACAAGCCGCCTACGGATGGCTAAACTAAAAGAGCATCCTGTAACACACGCCCACTGGGGCTTCAGCTGTAAACATTCACCCCTGGATACTGCCATGGGGTCAGAGCCCCTCAGCCTGCCCATCTGAATGCTCCCCTAGAGGTGTGAGCAGCGGGGCACTGAAGAAGCGAGCCATACCCCATTGCATGCCCTGTGAGGGACAAGGGAACCTTTCCCGTTTCAGAGGGACTTGCTAATGCTTCTTCTTTTTTATTTTCTTTTTTCTTTTTCTTTTTTTGAATCTCACTCTGTCACCCAGGCTGGAGTGCAGTGGTGCGATCTTGGCTCACTGCCACCTCCGCCTCCCGGGTTCAAGCCATTCCCTGCCTCAGCTTTTCGAGTAGCTGGGATTACAGGCACGCACCACCATGCCCGGCTAATTTTTGTATTTTTAGTAGAGACAGGGTTTCAACATGTTGGCCAGGCTGGTCTCAAACTCCTGACCTCAAGTGATCCACCCACCTCGGCCTCCCAAAGTGCTGGGATTACAGGTGTGAGCTACCACACTGGCCCCTACTAACGCTTCTTAACTCTGCTGTGTATATACTGCTTAGAATGGACATATTCTTTGGAGCAGGAGTTTGGAGAATGTCTCACAGCTTCGTAAGCGTTGAAGACAGACACCATTCCTCCCTGAGGCTGTGCCATCCACCAGCGTCTTCTCCTTGATGAACAGGGAAGAAGAGACACAACACTAGAAGGAAAAGGGAGTTCTGGCACAGTCCTGGTGTTTGTCTATCCTTCCGAGACTGGCTCTGGGAGTGTGTGGATGCATTTTGGCTCCATGGTGAATGGCTGTTGGAGGGAAAGGGTAGTGTGTTGAGATTCCTGCTCTGCCACCTGTGAGTGGTGAGGCCTTGGGCACGCACCTGACCTTGTTGAGATTCTGCTTTCTTACTTGTAAAATACTTTCTTCATAGGGATGCTATGAGAACAAATGACAGGCACCGTAAGGATTCAATGGATGCTTGCTTTCTTCATGGCACTTAGCACGGTCTAGTGATTTTGTCTGTGTGCTTTTCATTCTCTGCCTCATCTATTAGATGATACGCTTGATATGAGCTGGGTCTTATGCTCATTGTTGTTTCTGGGAGCCTAGCACAGTGTCTGGCACAGAATGAATGAACCAACGAACGAATGAATGAATGAACAAATGAATCAGTGTGCATTGAGTAACATACTGTGATAGTACACTAGTTTGAGATTCCAGCCTCTGAGTTTTATTCTCATCGCTAACACTGAT